>NC_000003.12:170220725-170372240 GCF_000001405.40 Homo sapiens
AGCTGGGATTACAGGTGCCCGTATATTTTATAATATATTCCATAATTAATCGCTCCGTATTAAACTTGCTGATGCAGGTCTCCAATTACTGAAAAACCTGATACCAAGTTTTTCAATGGGATTTTTTTGTTTGTTTAAGAGATGGGGTCTCACCATGTTGCTCAGGCTGGCCTTGAACTCCTGGGCTCAAGTGATCCTCCAGCCTCAGCCTCTCAAAGGCTGGGACTACAGGCATGTAGCACTTTGCCTGACTCAAGGGGAATTTTTAGTAAGAGTATATAATCCAAGTCTGTAGCAGTTGGAGGATGTCGTACCACGCTGAAGTGTCACACATAACTGATGACTCAGTCCCCCAAGCCTATTTTATCATCGTAAAGAAAGCTATTTCTTTGATTATTCCAACTCTTTCAGCACCAGGACTGCTGCAGGGGCTGGATTCATGCTACCTGTAGTTGCAGTGTAAATTATGTGTCAGAGCCAAGATCCTAGGAAAGTCAAAGACTAGGTTACAAGAGCGATTCTTTTTTTTTTTTTTTTTTTTTTTTTTTGAGACAGAGTCTTGCTCTGTCGCCCAGGCTGGAGTGCAGTGGCACAGTCTTGGCTCACTGCAACCTCCGCCTCCCTGGTTCACGCCATTCTCCTGCCTTAGCCTCCCGAGTAGCTGGGACTACAGGCGCCCGCCACCACGCCCGGCTAATTTTTTGTGTTTTTAGTAGAGACGGGGTTTCACCGTGTTAGCCAGGATGGTCTCGATCTCCTGACCTTGTGATCCGCCCGCCTCGGCCTCCCAAAGTGCTGGGATTACAGGCTTGAGCCACCGCGCCCGGCCAAGGACGATTCTTTCTAATCTTTGGTAAGCCAGTTTTTACAGAATGAAATGCTCTTGGATTGACTGACTTGATTGGGTAAGTATTCATTGGGCTCTTGTTCCATGCAAGGGCAGTCTACAAGGGCCTAGATATGGGGGCCCCCAAAGAAGAAAAATCGGTTTTTCATCATATTTTCTGGTTGAGTTTCTTCCTTTATTATATTTGTTACATATGTTATTAAATTATTTCCATAAAAGAGGTTATGCTGAGCAGGTAACCAAATTCTTGTTCCCCCAAAAGACATGTATAATTCAGACGATTTATGCAATTAGAAGAAGGGAGACTTCATCAGTTAATAAAGTCTAGAACGTGAGGAAGCCCAGTCATTTCCAGGACCTTCAGATGCCCAAGCTGGATCCAGGTTTTCCACCCCGACAGCTCCAGGGAGCACGCTGGAGAGACAGACTTCACCAGCGGGAAGGCGCGGCACCCTACGCGCAAGGAACCTCAAGTCCCAGAATCCTATGAGGACTCCAAATCCCAGAAACCTGCACGCAAATCTATCCCGGGTGCCAAGTCGGCCGACCGCAGACGTGACCAAGTTGCGAGGCTAGGGTGAGGTGTCGTAGAATTTGTCCCTACCATTGTCCCTGCAGGGAAGAGACTTTAGTGATCTAGAGCTGGTCATTGTCTCTTTCACAGCTCGCGTGAAAGCACCCCTCTCGGCGTGTTTGATGCCATGATCAGCGTCTCCCATTCCCTCTGTCCCCTTTCTCTGCCCCCGTAAGGATGGTTCAGCCCGGTATTGAGGCTCCTTGAGCTGGCTGGATGGTTGCGCCCGCCCTACCCCGGAATGTGGGCCTTTGGAGCGAGCGAAGTGGGAGGGACCGACGCAGGAGGTGTCTTGGGCCCGGGCGGCTGTAGAGGCGGCGGCGCCTACGGGCAGTGGGAGGAGCCGCGCGGTTCCGGCTGCTCCGGCGAGGCGACCCTTGGGTCGGCGCTGCGGGCGAGGTGGGCAGGTAGGTGGGCGGACGGCCGCGGTTCTCCGGCAAGCGCAGGCGGCGGAGTCCCCCACGGCGCCCGAAGCGCCCCCCCGCACCCCCGGCCTCCAGCGTTGAGGCGGGGGAGTGAGGAGATGCCGACCCAGAGGGACAGCAGCACCATGTCCCACACGGTCGCAGGCGGCGGCAGCGGGGACCATTCCCACCAGGTCCGGGTGAAAGCCTACTACCGCGGGTGAGTGTCCTGGGACAGGGCGGTGGGCGGGAGGGGACAGGCCGGCTCCACTCGGCCTGGAGGAGGGGAGGGTGAGGGGCTGGAGGTGTTGTGGGCGGATTGGGCTGGGCGGGCGGGCGGCTCCGGTGACTCAGGGTGAGTGACGAAGTGATAGGGGTGGGGGCGAAGCAAGGGGATGCAGTACTGGGGGCGCCCCCAGGTATGGCGGTGCGGGGAGCCGAGGGGCCAGAGTAGGGTCCGAGAAGGAAGCTAGGGTTAGAGTAGGTGCACCTGGTGTGGACGAGAGACTCGCCTCCTGAGAGCTTTGTAGGGGCCTTGCATCCTTAAGTCTGGGTGTATTTGGGGTTGCGAGTTGAGGATTCCAAGTGATGCCTTAGTTAACTCAGTTTGCTGTGGGGATAGAAAACGGGACTTCTTCAGTTAGCTGTCCGTTTTGATTACCAGCAGGCCTAACGCCTCTGGTTCTCTGAGATATACCTCCATCCCCGTTGTGTTCACGTAGTGTATCTGCACTGCCAGTATATTAGACATAGGGGTTGTATTTAAGAATCAAGTCGATGCGTTTTCAGGGACGTGCAGTGGGTACTTACGTGTCGTCAAGATTAAGTTGCATGTGTGTAAATCAAAATTTTGTGAGCCTTTCTTTCTCAGTGTTGTTTCAACGACTACCCGATAGGGTGAGATACTGCAAGGTGAGGAGACTAGCCTAGTTACAGTTTTAAATTCTCTGATCTTCACTCCCTTACTATGGTTACAAGAAAAAACCCAGTTCTAAGTTCATTGTGTTAAATCATTTTCTATCAGTGACGCAAAGTGCCCCCCTTCCTTTAAATTCAGTTGTGGTTTGAATTTTTTTTTGAGATAATTATGTTTAGGAGCATTAGAAACGTGAAATGTTAGTGTGACCATAAAGGTTGGAGACTGAGAAGTCACAGAAAACCCAGCTACTTTGGCTTGCCTTACTGCTTGTCCAGGTAGAAGTAAATTGCTTTAAAAAACTCAAGCAGTGCTAGGTTGAAATTTTAATGCATACTTTTACATTCCTGAGAGGATCAGTGAAGATAGCAAACTCTCAAACTACCTCTCTTGTTTTGATTTCAAAGAAAATCTGAGCCCCTAAATGTTGTATTGATTTGATGTAAGGACTTTTTTTTTTATTATTATACTTTAAGTTTTAGGGTACATGTGCACAATGTGCAGGTTAGTTACATGTGTATACATGTGCCATACTGGTGTGCTGCACCCATTAACTCGTCATTTACATTAGGTATATCTCCTAATGGTATCCCTCCCCCCTCCCCCCACCCCACAACAGTCCCCAGGGTGTGATGTTCCCCTTCCTGTGTCCATGTGTTCTCATTGTTCAATTCCCATCTGTGAGTGAGAACATGCGGTGTTTGGTTTTTTGTCCTTGATGTAAGGACTTTTAAATTTGCTGCCATGAAGCCTCTGGCCTCTGTTTATTATTAGCTTGACTGTATGCAGGAGTAGTTTATTGGAGTTATATTGGACAGTATGATAACTTTGTGTTTAAGCAGGTAAAACTGATTAAGGAGGTTTTTATTTTAAATCAGTACCAAGAAACGTGTGGATATTTTTTAAAGTTTGTAGTTGTCACAAGAGCTGTTTTGACTTGAGGATGGTCAGCCATGAACTTTGCAAGGTGAGAAAAAAGCTTCCTTTGCTTTTTTTTTTTTAAACCCTTACCTGTAATTTGATGAATGAGATGTTTCACTTTATTCTTTTATTTTATTTTTGTTTGTTTGTTTTTGAGACAGGGTCTTACTCTGTTACCCATGCTGGAGTGCAGTGGCACAATCTCGGCTCACTGCATTCTCCGCCTCCCGGGTTCAAGCAATTCGCCTGCCTCAGCCTTCTGAGTAGCTGGGATTACAGGCATGTGCCACCACACCCGGCTAATTTTTGTATTTTTAGTAGAGACGGGGTTTCACCATATTGGCCAGGCATGTCTTGAACTCCTGGCCTCAAATGATGCGCTCGTCTTGGCTTCCCAAATTGCTGGGATTACAGGCATGAGCCACTGCGCCTGGCCCTAAGGCTTTCAATAAATTCTTATTAATTGAGATCATCTTCTCCAATGAGTCTATGAAAGGTAAGAAATTAGTGCTTCTATTTTCCCATTTGTATTAGTTTGACACATGTAAATAGGCCCAGTTAGTAAATGAAAATCATTGTAAACTCCTTTGAGAAGAAATCAAAGTCTTGCTGTACTTCATGAATTTAGATAGCAAATTATCTTGGCTTATTGCTCCAGTTATTAAAAAGAAGAGAATAAGGACATACAGCTTCTTTAGTGTTTGACTGCAATTTTTCCAAGACATTCAAGGTAACATTGTCTTTTAAAATCTGTGAAATTTTGCTGCGGCGCAAATAACCTCTTGCCCATTGTATACTGGTCTTTGCTCAATGAAAGCTTTCTAATGGTACCTTCATTTCAAGCCTCATTTAAAGACAATATCAGCACTCTAAATTGTACCAAATTCCTGTCCTCTGAAATTAGATGTTAAGATTATGTGTTTGTATAGTCTAAACTGATGATTGTGGTATTACATAGTCAGCTGCTCATTAATATAGATGAAGCTAAAATGAGTCACGGACAAGGATAGTTAATAAACAGGTTGGCTAACTAGAACACCTACCTGATTTTAAAATAGAAAATCCTTCCTTTATACCAAGAAATGTGAGAACATTCTGCATTTGAAAAAGTTTTCTTTTCTCTCCAATCTTCTGAAGGGCCATTATTACATAGCATTTCCTCTATCCCTCTACACTTTTCTTTTCTTTTTTTTTTTTTTAAATAGAGACAAGGTCTCACCGTGTTGCCCAGGCTAATCCCAAACTCCTGGGCTCAAGTGATCCTCCTGCCTCAGCCTCTCAAAGTGCTGGGATTACAGGTGTGAGCCACTGTACCTGGCTCCACTACCCTTTTCTAACAATATTTCTTTCCAGTGAATGTTGACTCATTTAATAGCCAGCATTTTTTTTAGTGAAAAAATTGCCCTCTCTTTTCAAAGATGTGTATAGTGTTATTATTCTGTTAAGCTTGATCTCAGTGAAAACGTGTAATCTCTCTAGATCTAATAACATTTAATTTTTTTCTAATTTTTATTTTATTTTATTTTATTTATTTATTTTTTTGGAGATGGAGTCTCGCTCTGTCACCTGGGCTGGAGTGCAGTGGCGTGATCTCGGCTCATTGCAACCTCCGCCTCCCAGGTTCAAGGGATTCTCCTGCGGCTGCCTCCCGAGTAGGTGGGACTACAGGCGCCCACCACCACGCCCAGCTAATTTTTGTATTTTAGTAGAGACGGGTTTTCACCATGTTGGCCAGGTTGGTCTCCCAACTTCTGACCTCAAGTGATCCACCCACCTCGGTCTCCCAAAGTGTTGGGATTACAGGAATGAGCCATCTTGCCCAGCCAATTTACATCTAGTTTTTAAGCAAGAGATTAATAGCACTGAAAATTCAATTTTATTGGACACCACATCTTACTTAGATGCCTTTCTCATGGCCTGCACCCGTCTTTTCCTAGCAAGGAAGCTTTTCAGTGAGGGGCCTTCAGTTATTACCTAGTGCTAGTAGTTTGGAGGAAGAGAAACAGGTTTCATTAATTAGTGATAAACTGTCAATGTATGTGCTTATCCTTATATAAAATTACTTGCTATTATGGGATAGACTTTAACAAGGCAACATCTGGACTGCTCATTTCTTTACATTATATATGTATGGAAATTTTTGCAGAAAGCTTGTGAAAGTTCTTTTTAAACCGCTGCTGTCAAGTAGTAATAACAATACAGAGGATTCCTTCTGTGCACATCTAGAAATAAAAGATTAACTCTTTGCATATTTGGAATAGCTGCTTCAGTGAAGAAGTATGTAGGATTTTTCTTACTGTGAACAAGTCTTGGCAAGACTTGTTTTTGAAAGAAATGCAAGATTATTTTAGCAATATACTTTAGTAATGGTTCTGAGGAAATACAAGTGGTATCTTGAGGGTTGGGGGGATGTTAGCTAATTGGTCTTAGAGCTTCAGCCATGGCACCTAATCCTAGGGCAGCTGATCCATAGCTTGGCCAAAGAGAGAAAAAAATAGAGCATGCTAGCCTGGTGCCAAAAAACCCAAACCAAACACAAAAAACCCTCAGAAATTTGAATGAGAAAATATGGAGATAAAATTGGTCAGCACTGGGAACTGAAGCTGGAGTTGGAGGGAGAGTCTGGCGAGGCCAGAACTGACAATGTGCAAATGAAAGATGTGAAGAAGCAGAAACTGAGGAAGCAAAGGAGAAAGGAGCAACTCTGCACAGAAAAATTCTCCCCACAGGTCCTTAGTTCATGATGGCTTTCTAATGCAACTGCAGCCCTCCTTTTACAACTTTAGTGTCTGTTTTTTTTATGATTGAAATGAGCCTAATTTAAACATAGATTTTAAAAATTCCAGTCTTGCTTAAGATTTCAAATATAACCAGAGATCATTCAAACTGAGTTTAGTAAATATTGTTGAACGTCCGTAATCCAGGCACATGATGCTGTCGTAGGCACAGAGAATGTAGAGGTAGGTAAGGCTCTGCCTTTAAGGAATTAAGAGACTTGTGGAGGGAAGGACATATAAGAGTTACAATAGAAACAATTTAATTTGAAGTACCTATGTAAGGTATTTGCAGGAATAGACGTTGGGGAGGAGTTTGGGGTGATGGAAGCCTTCCTAGAGGAAATGTCTGAGGCTTTTAAAGGATAACTAGGAGTTTGCCTGGTGAATAATGATGTTAGGTGGGTGTTATAGGCATTAAACAACCACATGGTAAGTTTGCAGAATTAAGATCACTTTGGCTGTTAGTCTCATATTCATTCCTTATTAGGATATAAAGTATGAAGTGGGCACTGATGAGAAATGAGGCTAAGAAAGTTCACAGGGGCTAGATTGTAAAGACCCTTGAATGTCATACTGCAGAGTTTAGACTTTTTCTCATTGATGAAAATTCTAAGTAAGAGAAATACATGATCAGATTTGCATTTTAGAAAGATAACACTTGAAATTAGTATGGGAGATGGATTGGTGATGGATGAAACTAATTTGGAGGCTTTTGAAGTAGTCCAGATGAGATATTTTAAGGAGAGAGAAAAGAGTGTATGGATTCGGTGGAAATTTTAAGGGGTAGTATCAGTAGAATTAAAGATAGTCTTGTAGGGGTGACGGGAGTTGGACAACTCATAGGTTTCTCGTTTAAGAGAGACTGGGGAATGTGGAAGAGATTTGTGGGAGAAGTTAATTAATTGGCTGGAACAATTCACTGAATTTTGAGTTCTAGGTGTTTATGAGGCATTCAGGAGGAAATGTCAGAAAGAATGGAGCAATTATTTATTGTCTGTCTACTCTGTGTTGCAAGCACTGTGCTTGACAGCTAACCTATGTAGGAATGTGGCTGAGAACGATAATAGAAACAAAAATGACACCAGTGGCCAAATACAGATCACAAAGGCAAGGCACTAAAACTAAATTTTAAAAATATAGAAATACAGAAAGAGGCTGGGTATGGTGGTTCATGCCTGTAATCCCAGCACTTTGGGAGGTCAGGGCAGGTGAATCACTTGAGCCCAGGAATTGGAGACCAGCCTGGGCTGAATGTGGTGAAACCCTATCTCTACAAAAAAATTAGCCTGTAGTCCTAGCTACTAGGAGGGCGAGGTGGGAGAATCACCTGAGGCCAGGAAGTCAAGGCTGCAGTGAGCTGTGATTGCACCACTGCACTCCAGCCTGGGCAACAGAGTGAGACCCTGTCTCACACACACACAGACATACACACACACAAATATATATATATATACACACACACACACACACACACACATATACATACACACACATATAAAGTTCCCCTGTAGTCTCTCACTCCCACCTTATTTTATTTTATTAGTTTATTTTTATATATTTAAAGGGTACAAGTGCAGATTTCTTTCTTTCTTACATGTTTGTATCATGTAGCCATGAAGTCTGGTCACTTAGTGTACCCATCACCGGAACAGTAAACAGTAAAACCCAGAAAATTACCTGTACCCGATAGGTATTTTTCAACCCTCACCCCCCTCCCACCTTTTGTAGTCTCCAATGTCTACTATTCCCTCTTTATGTCCATGTGTACCCTTTGTTTAGCTCTCACTTATAAGTGAGAATATGTGGTATCTGGCTTTTTGTTTCTGATTTTTTTGACTAGGGATAATGGCCTTCAGTTCCATCCATGCTGGTGTAGAAGACGTGATTTCATTATTTTTTATGGCTGTCTCACTCCCACTTTCTAGAGATAGCCATTGTTAACAGTTAGGGATATTCTATATCATATCGGTATATTTATAAGTATAGATATGTATGTGCATACACACACACAGACATACCCTTTTATTTTTCCAATAAATGAGTTCATATTTCCACACATGCATCTGCAACTTGATTTTAAAAATCGTGGTCATCTTTTCATTCCAGGGTAGACAGACCTCTTTATAGTTGGTAATACAGTGTTCTACAGTTGTTGTTGTTGTTTTAAGAGACAGAGTCTGATTCTGTTGCCTACGCTGGAGTGCAGTGGCATGATCTAGGCCCTCTGCAGCCTCAACCACTCTGGGTTCAAGCAGTCCTCCCACCTCAGCCTCCTGAGTAGCTAGGATTAGCTCACGCCACTAGGCTCAGCTAATTTTTTTTAATATGTTTTGTAGGGACGGGGCTGGTCTCAAGCTCCTGTGCTCAAGTGATTCTCCTGCCTCGGCCTCTCAAAGTGTAGAAATTACAGGCATGAGCCATTGCGCCCAGCCACCATAATATGTTTAATCTTTTTTCGGATTGATGAACATTTAAAGTTGTCTTCATCAACTCACTATTTCAAATAATGTTGAAGGAACCTCCTTATATTTAATACATATTCTTGTAAATATGGTCAAAGATATGCCTATCTTGAAATATGATATTGTTTCCCAAAAGAGCTTAATTTACATTCTTAACAACAGGACTAGTGAAGCTTCTGCCTTATATTCCCATTGCATGTTATCTGTCTTTTAAATTTTTGACTGTCAGATTGGCAAAAAATGGTAATTTATTTTTACAAGTATCTTTTATATATTAATGATCATTTGTATTTCTTCTGGATTGTTCCTATTTTACCCATTTTCTATTGTATTATTTTTCTTATTAATTTGTTGACAGGACATTGACATTTTGTTAAAGTTGCCAGCATTTCCCCAATCTGTTGCTAGTCTGGAGTTTTTCGTTTTTATGTCATCAAACCTGTCCTTTTTAAAAATTTCCTTGATAGTTTCTGGATTTACTGTCTTAGGTAAAAGTGTTTTTCATCTAAAAATATTCTATTTTTCTTCTATTATGCAACTTTTTTTTTTTTTTTTTTGAGACAGAGTCTTGCTTTGTTGCCCAGGGTAGAACCCAGTGGCGTGATCTCGTCTTACTGCAACCTTTGCCTCCTGGGTTCTAACAATCCTCCTGCCTCAGCCTCCTAAGTAGCTGGGATTATAGGCGCACGCCACAACACCCGGCTAATTTTTGTTTGTTTTTTGAGACAAGGTCTTGCTCAGTCGCCCAGGCTGGAGTGCAGTGGCACGATCCTGGCTCACTGCAGCCTCTGCCTCCTGGGTTGAAGTGATTCTCCTGCCTCAGCCTCCCAAGTAGCTGGGATTACAGGCATGCGCCACCATGTCCGGCTAATTTTTTATTTTTAGTAGAGACAGGGTTTTGCCATGTTGGCCAGGCTGGTCCCAAACTCGTGACCTCAAGTGATTCACCCGCTGTGGCCTCCCGAAGTGCTGGGATTTTAGGCGTGAGCCACTGCGCCTGGCTTATTATGAAACTTTTAAAGTGATTATCTTTTCAGTGAATCTGGTATTTTGGGGTTTAGTCATTTATAGGGTACTGACACAACTTTTTTTTTCTCCAAAATTTATTCTAATACCATTATTGGGCAGATTGTCCTTTCACCACTGATTTGAAATGGTAACTCTGTTATGTACTAAATTTCCCACAATGTGCGTAGGTACTTTCTATTGTTTCATTGATTTTAGGGGAGAGATCTATTTTTGCACATACCACTATTGGTTTAATTATTGTAATATTATAGTTAACTTTGATATATGTTATGGAATGGCTTGATTCATTATTTAATTTTTTTTTTTTGTTTTTTTTTTTTTTGAGATGGAGCCTTGCACTGTCACCCAGGCTGGAGCGCAGTGGCGTGATCTTGGCTCACTGCAACCTCCGCCTCCCAGGTTCAAGCGATTCTCCAGTCTCAGTCTCTCAAGTAGCTGGGATTACAGGCAAGGCGCTACCATGCCTGGCTAATTTTTGTATTTTTAGTGAAAATGGGGTTTCACCATGTTGGCCAGGCTGGTCTGGAACTCCTTACCTCAGGTGATCCATCTGCCTCGGCCTCCCGGAGTGTTGAGATTACAGGCTTGAGCCACCGTGCCCGGCCTATTCCTATATATTTTATAATCATGTGCTTTTGTGAATGGGGTCTTCTTGTAGACCTATTACATACTGTTTTCTTTTTGTATGTTTAAATTAAACTTTCCACCTTACTAATAATTTAACTGTCTTAGAATTTTTAAGCTAGATAATGTCATCTGCAAGTAGCAATTTTGCCTCTTCTTTTCTATATCTTATTTATTTATTTATTATTTATTTTATGTTTTTTGAGACAGAGTCTCACTCTGTCGCCCAGGCTGGAGTGTAGTGGCGTGATCTCGGCTCACTGCAACCTCCGCGTCCCAAGTTCAAGTGATTCTCCTGCCTCAGCCTCCTGAGTAGCTAGGATTACAGGCGTGCACCACCACACCTGGCTAATTTTTGTAGTTTTAGTAGAGATGGGGATTCGCCATGTTGGCCAGACTGGTCTCGAACGCCTGACCTCAGGTAATCCACCCACCTTGGCCTCCCAAAGTGCTAGGATTACAGGTGTGAGCCACTGCGCCCAGCCTTATTTATTTTTAGCCATAGGCTAGAATTTTCTAGACAGTATTGAATTATAGTAATAATCTCTTATCTTAGTGAAATATAATAGAAAAATTTCTGTCAATTAAAGAAAAAAGCTTTTAAAGAATTAAAGTTAGTGTTATTCAGAAATGTTACTGAGGCCGAGTGTGGTGGCTCACGCCTGTAATTGTGCCACTGCACTTCAACCTGGGTGACAGAGCGAGACTCTGTCTCAAAAAAAACTCAACTGAAAAAAGTGGAACAAAAGAAAAAGAACCATGATAAGTATTTTGCACTTTTTTTTTTTTTGAGGCACATTTCTACTCTGTCACCCAGGCTGAGTACAGTGGTGTAATCACAGCTCACTGCAGCCTTAACTGCCCAGGCTCACGCAGTCCTCCTACCTCAGCCTCCCAAGTAGTTGGGACTGTAGGCACACACCACTATGTCTGGCTAATTTTTAATTTTTTTGTAGAGACAAGGTCTCCCTGTGTTGCCCAGGCAGGCCTCGAACTCCTGTACCGAAGCGATCCTCCCACATTGGCCTTTCAAAGTGCTGGGATTATGGCATGAGCCACCTTGCCTGGCTGCACTCATTTATTTTCATTTATTTTTCATTTTTTGAGTCAGTGTCTTCCTCCATCACCCAGGCTAGAGTGCAATGACATAGTCACAGCTCACTGCAGCCTCAACTTCCTGGGCTCAAGCTGCACTTATTTAGTCTTCATGATAATACTCAGAGGCAGATATGATTATCTCCATTTTTCAGATAACATTGAGACTTACTAACCCACAATACAAAGCTGGGTGTGTTTTTTTTTTTAGAGACAGAGTCTTGCTCTGTCGCCCAAGCTGAAGTCCAATGGCTCGATCATGGCTCACTGCAGCCTTGAACTCCTGGGCTCAAATGATTCTCGTGAGTAGCTGGGACTACGCTATGCTTGGCTAATTACAAAAAAATTTTTTTTAGAGACAGGGTCTTGTTCTGTCACTGAGGCTGGCCTTGAACTCCTGAGGTGATCCTCCCGCCTCAGCATCCTGAGTAGGTGGGATTACAGGCACGAGCCACCTTGCCCAGCCAAAACTGGACCTTGAACTTCAAAGAGATTTCTCTTTTCCCCTTACTACATTGACAGGGCTTTATAACATTGCTTTTTTACTTTATTGTTACATTCATATTTCACAATTGTTATTTTTGAATTCACTATCTTCTTCATTATTAAAAGGTGGAAATTGCTTTATGACCTTTTTTATAATTAATAATTTGGGGGGTGATACTTTGAGATTATATGAATACTCTAGTCCCCCAAAACATTTTGCCCAATGGTCTTACCATTCATGGATAATCCTGCCTAAACCAATTATTATAATGGTTATTGCAAATAAAAGTATTTTTTCGAATAGCCTAATTTAGAAGAAAAGCTTACACTGAGGTAGCAGAAGGACTGAATGTGATTCTTTTGGGGGTTTATTTTTAAAAGCAATTAGTCCTAAGGAAAAACTTTATAATAGATTCTATATTTTAGAATATAGGCACATTGAAAGCAGTTTGTCTTCTGAAGCTCAATAGCAAAATAAAAAATGCTTAAAAAAATTCAGCTAAAACCATATCTAAATTTGCCATTTTGGGAATCTTTGTGATAAAGCAGATTATATTCTGTTGAGGATCAGTGGTAAAATAATTTATGCTAGTGCTGAAGTTAAACTGGAAAAAACATCATACGTGCATAATTTGTTTTATACCTTTAGAATGTAATATCTTTATTTTGCAGTTCATTTTTAGCTTTGGTACTGTAACAAGGATCTGGTGATTGTGGAATGTTATGAACATAGTGGTTTCGCAATTACTGAGAGCTAAGTGTTTATATAAAACTCCCTTGAATGTTTTAGTTCCTGGAACTTAAGGAGTGGTAGTTGATAAAGCATAACTCCTTCATTGAGTCTCTGATGGGTATCTATACTTAAACTTTTTTTTTTTTAAACAGAATCTCACTTTATCATCCAGGCTGGAGTGCAGTGACGCAATCACGGCTCACTGCAGCCTCCGCCTCCTGGGTTCAAGCGGTTATCCTGCCTCAGCCTCCCAGGTAGCTGGGATTATAGGCACCCACCACCATGCCTGGCTAATTTTTGTATTTTTAGTAGAGACGGAGTTTCACTGTGTTTGCCGGGCTGATTTCGAACTCCTGACCTCTAGTGATCCGCCCACCTCAGCCTCCCAAAGTACTGGGATTACAGGTGTGAGCCACCACACCCAGCCTATACTTACACTTTTTTTTTTTTTTTTTTTGAGATGGAGTTTCGCTCTTGTTGCCCAGGCTGGAGTGCAATGGTGTGATTGGTTCACTGCAATCTCCGCCTCCCGGGTTCAAGCGATTCTTCTGCCCCAGCCTCCTGAGTAGCTGGGATTACAGGCATGTGCCACCACACCCAGCAAATTTTTTATTTTTAGTAGAGTCAGGGTTTCTCCATATTGGTCAGGCTGGTCTCGAACTCCCAACCTCAGGTGATCCATCTGCCTCAGGCTCCCAAAGTGCTGGGGTTACAGGTGTGAGCCACCACGCCCAGCCTTATACTTATACTTTTTAAGTATTACACAGATGTCTTAAAAGTATTTGTATGTTCTGATAAGTGTTTTTTAGCTTTTGAAAAGTAAAATTTATGAAAAAGCCTTGTTGTTTACAAATATGTTTACCTTTCTGTTAATTTTAAATGTGGACTTTGATAAGGAAGTTATATTTCGATGATATCCAGTGTAACTAATTTTTTCCCTCTTATTCAAGAAAGATAATTTTACACTTATTCTTTGACAGAGAAATTTCATAGAATTTTCTTCTTCTAATTTAATTCCAGAATACATTCTCTCAACCCTATGCCCTCATACTAGTAACCTTGAGGGTTCTTTGAAAGAAAAATTGCTTTAAATCAAGCAATTCTCTTTTGTCATTAAAATAAGCTATTTTCTATTTTTATTTTTAAAAACTATTTAAAACAATATAATTATGCAAGTGTGTATATATGTATTTGATTTTTTTGTTTTCTTTTGTTTTTATTTATTTTTTTGACACAGTCTCCTCTGTTGCCCAGGCTGGAGTGCAGTGATGTGATCTCAGCTCACTGTAACCTACACCTCCCATGTTCCCCCCCTGAGAAGGATCCTCCCACCTCAGCCTCTGGCTAATTTTTTTTTTGTATTTTTAGTAGAGACGGGGTTTCACCATGTTGCCCAGGCTGGTCTTGAGCTCCTGGGCTAAAGTGATCTGCCCAGCTCAGCCTCCCAAAGTGCATGAGCCACCGTGCCCAGCTTGATATTTTAATTTTTACTTGAATGAAATCATTTACTGAAAGCAATACATGTTGATGCACACACAAAATTACTGAAGTTCATCAAATTGTCAAGCATTCAGTAATATATACAGCATTATTATTTTTAATCATTTTCAAACTGAAAACTCCTTTTCTTTTTCAGGGATATCATGATAACACATTTTGAACCTTCCATCTCCTTTGAGGGCCTTTGCAATGAGGTTCGAGACATGTGTTCTTTTGACAACGAACAGCTCTTCACCATGAAATGGATAGATGAGGAAGGTGAGTGGTAAAGACAGGGCTGCCTGTGTAAGCATTTTAAGATCTTATTCTATCATTTGTTGTAAAAATATAATGAGTCCTAAAAAGTTTAAGAGGAAAGACTATTAGAAATTTGATGCCATTCTTGTTTTTTCTTTAAGTATTTAAAAGAATACTGAAGAGCACAATCTTTTTTTTGCCCCTTTTACGCCAAAATGATGTGAAATTAACTTGACTTTTTTTTTTTTTTTTTGAGACGGAGTCTCGCTCTATCGCCCAGGCTAGAGTGCAGTGGCCTAATCTTGGCTCACCAAAACCTCCACCTCCCGGGTTCAAGCGATTCTCCTGCCTCAGCCTCCCAAGTAGCTGGGACTACAAGTGTGCACCACCATGCCCGGCTAATTTTTGTATTTTTAGTAGAGACGGGGGTTTCGCTATGTTGGCCAAGCTGGTCTCAAACTCCTGACCTTATGATCTGCCCACCTCGGCCTCCCAAAGTGCTGGCATTGCAGGCGTGAGCCACTGTGCCCAGCCTAACTTGACTTTTTTAAGCATAAGGTAAGCATCTCATCAAATAGTGTGATGTTTTACTTTAATTTTGTTTTTTCTTTGAATTAAATTTTTTTTTTTTATTTTTTAAAGACAGGGTCTTGCTAAGTTGTCCAGGCTGGTCTCCAACTCCTGGCCTCAAGTGATCTTCCCATCATGACCTCCCAAAGTACTGGGATTGCAAGCAGGAGCCACTGCATTCAGCTTCACTTTATTTTTTAATTTAAATTTTTTTTTTTTGAGACAGAGTCTGGCTCTGTCGCCCAGGCTGGAGTGTAGTGGCATGATATCAGCTCACTGTAACCTCCGCCTCCAAGGTTCAAGCAATTCTTGTGCCTCAGCCTCCCAAGTAGCTGGGATACAGGGGTGCACCACCACACCCAGATAATTTTTGTATTTGTAGTAGAGACGGGGTTTTGCCGTGTTGCCCAGGCTGGTCTTGAACTCCTGGCCTCAAGTGATCTGCCCACCTAGGCCTCCCAAAGTGCTGGGATTACAGGTATGGGCCACCACACCTGGCCCCCAGCTTCACTTTAATTTTGAATATGTGTTGTCTTATATTTTAATTTAAGAGATTACCTATTTTTAAGCTGAATATTACCTTAAAGAAAATATTGTGGAATGAAAGTGATTTTGACAATCATTATTTCAAAGTAGTGGCAGAAACCTGATACCTCAGTGACTTGTACTCAGAAAACATTTATCATATATGTAGGCTTACGCCTGTAATCCCAGCACTTTAGAGTCTGAGGTGGGAGGATTGCTTGAGGCCAGGAGTTTGAGAACAGCCTGGGCAACATTGTGAGACCCTGTCTCTACAAAAAGTTTTTAAAACTTATCTGGTGGTAGCGTGCACCTGTGGTCCCAGCTACTTGGGAGGCTGAGGTGGGAAGATTGCTCGAGCCTGGAAGGTCAAGGCTGAAGATGGGCCCTGATTGTGCCACTGCACTCCAGCAACAAAGCAAGCAAAGCAAGACCCTGTCTCAAAAAAAAAAAAAAAAGAAAGAAAAAGGGAAAAAGAAGCAAATATCTGTGTGCTGAGGACAGACATTTCCTATCCTCAAACCCATAGTCTGATAGGGAGATGGACACATGTGTAACAAATGTGATAAATTCTGGAACATAAACGCATAGGGGCCTTGAGGAATACAAAGGAAGACACATCTATAATACATCTGCAATGTTTGACATAAACCTGTAACAGAGTAGAAGTTTTTGAGGTAGAGGAGGTGAGGAGAAAACCATATAGGCTGAAGAAGAATATGTAGAAAGGCACAGAAATGTGAAGAACATGATGAGTGAAAAGCAGTAATTCACTGTATCTGAAGTATGAAGTGGTGAAGTATGAATTGGCCTACAGTTTAACAGGCTCCACGGGTGAGTTGTATGAATACAGAAATTTGTTTGAGAAGCATGAGACTAGATCCCCAAGAGCTTTGCAGATCACATTAAATTTTATTTTACATGACTATTATGGAAGTCTAGTTAAAAGGTACCCTAAAGAAAGGGTGGGTTGGGGGTGAGGGATAAAGGCCTACATATTGGGTACAGTGTACACTGCTCAGGTGATAGGTGCAGCAAAATCTCAGAAGTCACCACTAAAAGAACTTACTCATGTAACCAAACACCACCTGCTCCTTGAAAACCTGTGGAAATAAAAAAAGAGAGAAGATACCCTAAATATACTACTTTTTTTACAATAGTTTTCTGTTAATTGTTATACAAATAGAATTTCATTTTAAGGAATGTCATAATATTTAGCTCAATATTTGGGATCATTTCTATCTTCCCTGATATAAAGAACTCTGGAAAGTCATTATTGAAGCTCCAAGCTATAGGTAAACATAAACACATTCTCATTTTTTAAAACAGTGTTCCTGAAGTAATTCATGTTCACTGTTCAGGAAAAAAAGTAGTGCAAAAATTTATGAAATGTAAAAAGAAGCCTCCTGTTTTTCCTTTTTTCTCTCTCCTCCCTCACCAATTCCAATTGTAAGAGAATAGCTTAGTATGTATCCTTCTATATATTTTCTATGCATTTGCAAACGTGTATGTATGTTTCTATAAATTCTTTATTAACAGTTTTATTAACATGACAAATGACATACAGCTGATATTTTGCAGACCTGGTGGGCATGGGGAGCTTGGAGCCCAGTGCCACCCACCCTGGCCCTCCATGGCCTTAAAAAAAAATTATATGGGGCCGGGCATGGTTTCTCATGCCTATAATCCCAGCATTTTGGGAGGCCGAGGCGGGTGGATGGCCTGAGGTCAGGAGTTCGAGACCAGCCTGAC
Organism: Homo sapiens; assembly: GCF_000001405.40. Classification (NCBI taxonomy): domain Eukaryota; kingdom Metazoa; phylum Chordata; class Mammalia; order Primates; family Hominidae; genus Homo; species Homo sapiens. The sequence continues at coordinate 170,238,175 of NC_000003.12, forward strand.
CAGCATAGTGAAACCCCATCTCTACTGAAAATAGAAAAATTACCTGAGCGTGGTGGCGGGTGCCTGTAATCCCAGCTACTAGAGAGGGTGAGGCAGGAGAATCACTTGAACCTGGGAGACGGAGGTTACAGTGAGCTGAGATTGTGTCGTTGTACTCCTGCCTGGGCAACAGAGCGAGACTCCATTTCAAAAAAAAAAAAATTATATACAAATCGTTATGCAGTGTTTTCCTTTATAGTATGCGCTGGACATTTTTTCATTTCAGTGTACTTCAATTTGCATCATTACTCTTTTTTTTTTTTTAGTACTGCATAGTATTACATATTATAGATGTTTCATGATTAATCCCTTATCGATGGACATTTGGACTATTTCTAGTTTTTCACTACCATAAACAATATATAATGAACATTTCTTTTCTTTTTTTTTTTTTTTTTGAGACAGTCTCACTCTGTTGCCCAGGCTGGAGTGCAGTGTCTCGATCTCCGCCCACTGCAACCTCCTCCTCCTTGGTTCAAGCAATTCTTGTGCCCCAGCCTCCTGAGTAGCTGGGATTACAAGCGTGCAACACCATGCCTGCCTAATTTTTGTATTTTTAGTAGAGACGGGGTTTCACCATGTTGGCCAGGCTGGTCTTGAACTCTGGCCTCAAGTGATCCACCCGCCTTGGCCTCCCAAAGTGCTGGGATTACAGGCATGAGCCACCACTCCCAGCCTTATTTATTTATTTCTCTTTTAATACAGAGGCTGGGTTCTCACTATGTTGCCCAGGCTAGTCTTGAACTCTGGCCTTAAGTGATCCTCCTGACCTAGCCTCCCAAAGTGCTGGGATTACAGGTGTGAGCCACTATGTCAAAACATATGTATATCAAAACATCATGTTATATACCATAAATATAATTTTTGTCCATTAAAAAATTAAACTAGTTTTTCACACAACTACATGAAATGAGAGGATTTTTTCATTCTTGCCCTTACCAACCTTAGATATGAATCATAAACATTTTTAAAGATCAGTAAGTGAAATGCTAACCTGGTATTTCAAATTTTGCATTAAGAGGAAAGTTGAGTATCTTTATCTTTTTGACCTACCCTATCACAAAGATAGTTTAAATATGGTTACTTATAAATGTCATGACTATCTCACAATATGTCTTCAGCCAGAAAATGAGACTATATATAATTTAGCACAGTGTGCAACTTATGCTTAGCATTCAATAAAATGCTTCTTATCATAAATGAATATTCTTATTTTAATCCTGATCATTTCATACCATTTATTTGCTGATTAGAGTTGTTTTTCAGTCAATGATTTTCAAATTGCAGCACACATAGGCATCACTGGATAATGCTTTTTATTAGACGTACTTAGTTTAGCGATAGTCCATTAAACGTTTTTATAATACCTTTGTATTATCCTTGCCTGGAGAGTTCTGTTCCCAGATTGTCACCTGGCTGTCTCTCATCATTCAGGTTTTAACTCAAATGTCATGTCCTCCAAGAAGCCTTCCTATCTCCATTCATTTTGTATCTTCTTGCCCTGTTTTTTCTCTTGTATGGTAGAGTGTTTTTTTTTTTTTGTATGGTAGAGTGTAAGCTCCATGAGAGCAGAGGTCTTGTCTGTTTTGTTCATGTTGGAGCTGCAGTGCCTAGAGCAATACTAAATAATACTATGCTCAAAAAATATTTGTGGCTGAGTGCGGTGGCTCATGCTTGTAATCCCAGCATTTTGGGAGGCCAAGGCAGAAGGATCCCTTGAGCCCAGAAGTTTGAGACCAGTCTGGGCAACATAGTGAGATAGTGAGACCCTGTCCCTACAAAAAAAATTTTTTTTTTAGTTAGCTGGGCATGGTGGTACACACCTATAGTCTCAGCTACTCAAAAAGCTAAGGTGGAAGGATTGCTTGAGCATGGGAGATGGAGGCTGCAGTGAGCCATGATTGTGCCACTGCACTCCAACCTAGGCAACAAAGCAATACCCTGTTTCCAAAAAAAAGATATATGTGTATATATATATTTGTGAGTTGTACAAGAGGCTAGCAACAAGCCTTTCCCTGGTTTAATTTTGCTTCAGTTATTGGAGACTTAAGCATTGACAGTTACTGTTTATTCTGTTTTTTTTTTCTTAAAGTAGCATATTTTAATTAACAGATGCACATAGTAAATTAACTTTCTGATGCAACAGTCTTATTATAATGCATTTCATACTTCTTTCTCCCTAAGTAGCTATTAAGTTTCCAAGTTTTCTGGGGAAAGCTATGAAGCTCTAGGCTTTGTCTTGTTCAAGTAAAAGGTTAAATTTTTCATTAAGGTCTGTTGATTCCCATGCGATCCTTCTCACCTTGCTTAATTCTGATACCAATCTTTTCTTAATTTTAGGCATACAGAGCCAACAGTAATTATTTTTAAGTTACTTTCAATTAGTTTTCAGTTGTAATTTTGTCACCTTTGTTTTTAATCATGTAGGCATTGGGGCATGTCGGTCTGATCTGGAGAAAAAAAATTCTCTAGGATCAAAGACAGGACAGTCACTTGATTTCTCTGGCATATGAGAAGTGCTGTTCCTCAAGCCAAACATTTAATTGTTGGAATTTTATGTTGGAGCAAGTAAAGATCTTAAGCTTACTTCATCTGTTTAAAGAGATTTAAGACAACTGCCCTTTTTCCTTGTACTCAAAACCAGTCTTAGTGATTTGTTTTACTGTGGAAAAACTGGTTTGCTTAATCTAACTAAACATTTTAGAATGAGTAGTAATTTTGTAACCATCATGCCACACTCCTCTTTCTCATAAATTCTTGTGTAACAAAAGTGTGGGACAGGGAATGACAAATGTGACTTTATTTTTTTAACAAATGTAAGTTTTCAGTTCTTTTTTTTAAATTTTTAATTAACAGATAATAATTGTATATGTTCGTGGGATACAGTGTGATGTTTCAATACATGTATATGTTGTGGAATGAAAAAATCAGGGTAATTAACACATCTATTACCTCAAATACTTATTTCTTTGTGGTGAGGACATTTAAAATCCACTCTTTTTGTTATTTTGAAATACACAATACATTATTATGAATTGTAGTCACCATGCTATGCAATAGATCACCAGAACTTACTACTCCTGTCTAACCACAACCTTGTACCCTTTAACTGGCACCTCCTTTCTCTATCTAACCCACTCCCTCCAGCCTCTGGTACTCTCTACGTGTATGAGTTCAACTTTTTTAGATTCCATATATCATGTGGTGTTTGCCTTTGTATGCCTGGCTTATGCTTATTTCACTTAGCATAATGTCCTCTAGGTTCATCCATGTTGTTGAATATGACATAATTTTCTGCTTGAGGCTGAGTAGTATTCCATTGTGTGTATATGCCATATTTATTTCATCTGTTTATCCATTGATGGGCATTTCAATTGTTTCCATATCTTAGCTATTGTGAATGATGCAGATGCTACAGCGTAGTTCACCTTTGTTTTGAGAGAGGGAGAGAGAGAGACAGAGACAGAGAGAGAGAGAGAAAAGGCCTCACTCTGTTACTCAGGCTGGAGTGTACTGATGCAATTATAGCTCACTGCAGCCTCAAACCTATGGGCTTTTGAGATCCTCCCATCGCAGCCTCTTAGCTACAGGTGTGTACCACCATGCCTAGCTACTTTAAAAAAAATTCTTTTGGCTGGGTGCAGTGGCTCACACCTGTAATCTCAGCACTTGGGGAGGCTGAGGCAGGAGGATCACCTGAGGTCGGGCCAACATGGAGAAACCCTGTCTCTACTAAAAGTACAAAATTAGCTGGGCGTGGTAGTGCATGCCTGTAATCCCAGCTACTTGGGAGGCTAAGGTAGGAGAATTGCTTGAACCCGAGAGATGGAGGTTGCGGTGAGCCGAGATCGTGCCATTGCACTCTAGCCTGGGCAACAATAGCAAAACTCCGTCTCAAAAAAATTTTTTTTGTAGAGACAGGGTCTTGTTACATTGTTGCCCAGGCTGGTCTTGAACTCCTGGCCTTAGCCAGGAGTTGAATTCAACCAACTCTTTGGCTGAATGTGTAGCCAATGCTACTTCACCTATTTAGATAGCTGTATTATGGCTCCAAAGCTGAAAACTGAAAAATTAATATTAACAGCCAGGCATAGGGCTCATGCCTGTAATTCCAGCACTTTGGGAGGCTGAGGCAAGAGGATTGCTTAGCCCAGGAGGTTGAGGCTGCAGTGAGCCAAGATTGCACCACTGCACTCTAGCCTGGACCACAGAGTGAGACCCCATCTCAAAAGAAAAAAGAAAAAGAAAAGACAAGAAAAGAAAAAATTAACAGCACTTAGAAAAGGAAAGCTAAGTACCTCCAAGCATATCTAGTTTTGTAACTTATATAGTTTTCCTTTATAATGTTAAAACATTATAATGTTATAATGTAAAGAACTTATACATTATGAATTATTATACATTATTACATTATTTATAATGTAATGTAAAGAACTTCCTTTAACATTTCTTTTGTTTTTGTTTTGTTTTGTTTTGAGATGGATCCTTGCTCTGTCGCCCAGGCTGGGGTGCAGTGGTGTGATCTCGGCTCACTGCAACCTCGACCTCCTGGGTTCAAGCGATTGTCCTGCCTCAACCTCCCGAGTAGCTGGGATTACAGACACCTGCCACCATGCCCGGCTAATTTTTGTATTTTTAGTAGAGATGGGGTTTTGCAGTGTTGGCCAGGCTGGTCTCGAACTCCAGACGTCAGGTGATCCGCCTGCCTCAGCCTCCCAAAGTGCTGGGATTACAGGAGTGAGCCACTGCGCCCGGCCTCTTGAACATTTCTTATAGAGAAGTTCTGCTGGTGAGAAATTATTCATGTTTTTAATTTCACTTAAAAATAGATTTATTGAGGTATAATTGACATATATATGTATACATAATATATATAATAAGTTATACATATTAAAACTTTACAGTTGGATGAGTTTTGATACCTAGGAACCCATCAGCACAAGCAAGGTAGAGAACGTATCTGTTATCCCCAAATGTTTCCTTGTGCTAAGCAGTGCCTCACTCCTGCTCTTTTGTCCTCAGGCTACTACTAATCTGCTTTCTGTTACTACAGATTAGTTTGCATTTTTTAGAATTTTATATGGATAGAATCATCATATAGCATGTACTTTTTGGTGGGATGTGTGTATCAGTAGTTCATTCCTTCTTATTGCTGAGTAGTATTCTATCCTGTGGATGTACTACAATTCATTAATCTGTTGAAGATCATTGGGATTGTTTTTGGTTTTGGCTGTTTTAAATAAAGGTGCTATGAACAGTCATGTACAAGTCCTTCCTTGTATGGAAATATATTTCCATTTTTCTTGAGTCAAACCTAGAAATAGAATAGCTGGATCATGTGGTAGGTATATATGCTGCTTTTATAAAATGGAAAAAGAAGATTTTGAAAAGGAGATGAGATGGGGCACTTCATCCCAGGCACATCCTTGGGCAGATGGTTTTTAGTAAGGAATTCACAAGGAAGTTGAGGATCAGGAAATTGATTCCTTTTAAAAACTGTCTATGCCTGTTAGTCCCTGAAAAGTTTTCCTGCACTCCAGGGGTACTGTATTCCAATTAGAAGATAGCTGACTTAGAGATGTCCCCAGCTACTTCTCTTAGTTCTGGCCTCTGCCCCAGCTCTGTTCTTCAGACGGACCTTATGCCCAGGAAATTCTGGCTGCCATCTTTTACACACCAGGCTGTCTGGAGGCCTGGGAGAAAAAGGAATTAGACTGGGGTTCACCTGGGAGAAACCCTTGGCAGTGGTGGAGTGGGGATGGATTCAGAAGTGAGGTATGATACTATAATATAATGAAAAAATGTATCTGCTATTCATCGCTGGTTCCTGACAGTGCCTAAAACCCTTGTTCAAGTAAAAGGTTAAATTTTTCATTAAGGTCTGTTGATTCCCATGAGATCCTGAGTAATAGAAGTGAGAAGAGCATCTTTTGTTATTTATGATAAGCCCCTGCCAACCAAACCTGATTTTATGCTAATGAGGTGGCTCTTGGAGGATGGCTTCTGGTTGCCAGAGGAATCAACCATGTGGTTATCTCTAAGGTGGGACTTTTCAGCCTACCTCCCCCTTATTTCTGAGGAGGGCAGAGGGGCCTGGAGATGGAGTTAATCACCAGCAGCCAGTGGTTTAATCAGTCTTGCTTAGGTAATGGGACCCCCTTAAGAACTCAAAATGTAGGGGTTCAGAGAGCTTCCTGCTCGGTGAACAAATCAAGGTCCTGGGAGGGTGGTACATCTGGACCCGGCTTGGAAGCTCTGTGTCCCCCCGTACCTTGTCCCATTACCTCTTCATCTGGCTGTTCATTTGTATCCTTTATAATATCCTTTATAATAAAGTGTTTTTGTAGCAAATTGTTTAACATGAGGAGGGGGTTGTGGGTGTAGGGGCCAGGGAAAAGCTTCCCCATTGATCTCCAAAGGTTTGCTGAAAAATCAACTCACAAGAGGCAGATTAATTGGAGAAAAGTCATACAGATTTTATTACATGTACACGGGGGAACCACAGAGATTACTCACCCCCCAATGGGGTTCGGAAGCATGTATAATATCCTGGCAAAACAGGTTATATGGCTGGTCCAGGTGCAGTGGTGTTTACAGCTAATTGATCACAGCCAGTTACAGATTTCTTTGTTCCTTCCACTCCCACTGCTTCACTTGACTAGCCTAAAAAATTAATTAATTAAATAAAACAGGTTATAGGAGAAGGGAGAAGAGGAATTCTGTTGTGAGGATTACTAGGAAGAATGAATGGATCAGGGAAGGGAGATTAACTTGTACATTATCTTGTGGAAGGATCTGTTCAGGTGTGATTACATTCTTGGTCTTACTGGGAGGGGAATGCAAAACAGTTGTTCTCGGTGGGTCTGGATTTTAGGCGATAAAGGAACTTCAGAGAACGTCATTCTGACTTTGGGAGAAGTCAGTTGTAGGGGTGGGTGGTTGGGGGAAGTCAGAGAGACCCTGAGGTATTGGTTACTGAGTCCCAACATGGGAATGCCCAGTTTGTAGCCAAGTCAGACTAATTTGACTGATTTGTGGCTAATTTGAGGATCCACTACTTGCAATTAGCATCTGAAGTTGGGGGTAGTCTGTGGGACTGAGCCCTAAACCTACGGGGGTCTGTGCTAACTCCAGGTGGTGTCAGAATTTAATTAAATTGTAGGACGCTCGATTGGTCTCCACAGAGAATAGATTTGCTTCTGGAAAACTCACACATCTGGTGTCGGAAGCATTGTGAGTGGAGAAACAGTTTTTTATTTATGAGGCAAGAGAGGCTATGGGGGTCTTGAGGCGGTATTGGGGACCTTAGATGCTATCATCTGCTCCAGTATCTGGGAAGGTCTGTCCTCCTCATTGGCATCCCGTCTCCAGTTGCCCTGTCTTCTTCCTCTCCCTCATAGACCACTGTTCACACGGGATACACTTATGATCCCCACACTGTTTTCTCCTTACTCTCACTTCTCCATCCCTAGGCAATCACTGATCTGCTTTCTGTCACTATTCCATACATATAAATGACAAAATATAGTGGGTTTTTTTGTTTTTGAAAGACAGGATCTCACTGTGTTGCTCAGGTTGGCCTCCAACTCCTGGGCTCAAGCAGTCCTCCTAGCTGAAACTACAGATGCACACCATGACTCCTGGCTCAAGCACAGTGTTTTTGTACTTTTTAATAAATGACATTATATATCCCATATTCTGAAATGTCTCTTTTTTCCCTGGATGTTATGTCTTTGTTTTTTTTTTTTTTTTTTTTTCTGACACAAATCCTTTCTTTGTCACCCAGGCTGGAATGCAGTGGTGTGATCATGGCTCACTGCAGCCTACCTCTCAGGCTAAAGCAGTCCCCCTGCCTCAGCCTCCCGAGTAGCTGGAACTACAGGAGTGCTCCACCACGCCCAGCTAATTTTTTTTCTTTTTTTTCTTTTTGAGACAGAGTCTCGCTCTTGTCACCCAGGCTGTAGTGCTCGCTCTTGCCGCCCAGGCTGGAGTGCAGTGGCATGATCTTAGCCCACTGCAACCTCCGCCTCCCGTGTTCAAGTGATTCTCTTGCCTCAGCCTCCTGAGTAGCTGGGATTACAGGCGCCTGCCACCATGCCCAGCTAATTTTTGTACTTTTAGTGGAAACAGGGTTTTGCCATGTTGGCCAGGCTGGTCTTGAACTCCTGACCTCAAGTGATCCGCCCGCCTCGGCCTCCTAAAGTGCTGGGATTAGAGGGCTGAGCCACTGGGCCCAGCCTAAATTTTTTATTTTATTTTTTGTAGAGACAGAGTCTTGCTATGTTGCCCAGGCTGGTCTCAAAACTCCTAAGCCCAAGTGATCCTCCCGCTTTGCTCTCCCAAAGTGTTAGGATTACAGGCATGAGCCACCATGCCCAGCAGATGTCTTGAGATCTGTTAATGTAGTTAGAGAACTAGTGTACCCTTTAAAAATTTTTTTATTGTAATTAAATATAAATAAGAAAATTTACCAGTTCGACCACTCTTAAGTGTACAGTTCAGTGGTATAAGCACATTCACAGTGTTGTACAACTATTAACAGTATCCTTCTGTTTCCAGAACTTTTCACCATCCCAATCAGAAACTGTACCCATTAAACAATAACTCCCTATCCCTCCTTTTGCAGTCCCTAGTAACCTGTATTAAACTTTCTGTCTATGAATTTACCTATGCTTGGTCACCTTTGTTTTTGTGTTTTTGAAAGATGATTGTGATTGGTAAATAACTCCAGGTTGGAAGTTTTTGTTTTTTTTTCTCGTTCAGTACCCTGTCTTATAGCTTGCATTGTTTCTGATGCAAAATCTGCTATCAACTTCCTTTCTGTATGTGAAGCATCTCTTTGGCTGCTTTTAAGACTTTTTTGTTTTGTTTTGTTTTGGAGACAGAGTCTTTGCCTGGAGTGCAGTGGTACAGTCATGGCTCACTGCAGCCTTGACCTCCCAGGCTCAAGCAGTCCTCCCACCTCAGCCTCCCAAGTAGGTGTGCGCCACCATGCCCAGCTACTTTTTTAGTTTTTTTTTTAAATAGAGATGGGATCTTGCTATGTTGCCCAGGCTGGTCTTGAACTCTTGGACTCAAGCAATCCTCCCACCTTGGCCTCCCAAAGTGCTGGGATTACAGGCGTGAGCCACTGCAGCTAGCCTTAAACCACTGTTTAATCCAGTGTTTTAAAATTGTTTTAGAGGGAGGGTTATGTCTATTCCTATTACTTCATCTCTCCTGATGTGAATGTTGAGGCTGGATGCGGTGGCTCACACCTGTAATCCCAGCACTTTGGGAGGCAGAGGCGGGCGGATCACCTGAGGTCGGGAGTTCGAGACCAGCCTGACCAACATGGAGAAATGCCGTCTCTACTAAAAATACAAAATTAGCTGGGTGTGGTGGTGCATGCCTGCAATCCCAACTATTTGGGAGGCTGAGGCAGAAGAATCACTTGAACCTGGGAGGTGGAGGTTGCAGTGAGCCAAGATCGTGCCATTGCACTCCAGCCTGGGCAACAAGAGCAAAACTCTGTCTCAAAAAAAAAAAAAAAAAAAAAAAAAAAAAAGTTGAGGATGAGCGGCTTCATGGGATGGCATGTATTTCTGTAACCACTGACTTCCACCTCCCAGAAAAAGGAAGCAACAAGCCAAAAATTCACTACTGTTGTTATTGGGCCTGATAGTGAAAGGATGACCACCTAAAAATTATGGCATCCTTGGAAAATTTTTGCAAATCTGTATTTTAAGCAGTGTAACCCTTTACAGTAAGGGAGTACAGTGACTTTTGCAAGTGGTTTAGTGTTCTGACTGCATATCCAGAGGCAGGATGGCAGTACGAAGGTCCTAGTGGGAACAGAGAGTGAGAGTCTGTGAGTCTGTGGCTAACTCAGACATCAGGGAGAAGAATGTGTGATACTGTCTCAGAGGTTGCCAACTTTGGTATTAGGCTGTGTTCTTTGAAATGTGGGGCACTGAATTTAGGCATATACTGAAATAACTAAATAAAACAAGAGTTACATATATGTTTCATGTTCTACATCCTGTCAGGTTATCTCATATAAATAATTGGATTGTGAATATTTACCTAACTTTTTGAGGTCTAATGCCCTAATTTGCTGCTTTCTTTTTGTAGGTAAAGAACAACAGCAGCAACAAAAACAAAAACAGTAGATATATTGGGGGGGGGAAAAAACCTGCTGGTTAATATACAGATTTCATTACCTTGAAGTTCACTGCACTGAACAATTCTCACTCTGGATGTATTCCTGCTCTAGGATGTGAATTTAGACTTTTGTAATAGAGTGGGCTTTGAGAAATAGCTTTTCTGCTCATTTTAGTTTCATGATGACTGCATGGAATGTTTTGCTTCACGCTTATGCATTGAGTTTTATCAAGCATTAAGCAGTTGGCCGAAACAGGTAATACTTGAACATTCAGTCCAAGAAAAACAAAATGGATTTGAACATACGTAGAATCAGTAACTCTTATTTTCATACTTCCTTATGGTTATTCAGAAGTGTTGGTCTCTAGGTACATTTTGAAAGCAAGTACTTGATCTGGCTTAGGTTTTAACTAACAGCAAGCAGATACTGGCCTGATAAAAAGATGATGTACAGCAAAAGTGAGATGGTCAGAATTGGCTTTTTTCTTTTTCTTTTCTTTTTTTTTTTTGAGAGGGAGTCTTGCTTTGTCACCCAGGCTGTAGTGCAGTGGCATGATCTCAGTTCACTGCAAGCTCCACCTCCCAGGTTCATGCCATTCTCCTGCCTCAGCCTCCTTTGTAGCTGGGACTACAGGTGCCCGCCGCCACGCTTGGCTAATTTTTTTGTATTTTCAGTAGAGACGGGGTTTCACCATGTTATCCAGGATGGTCTCGATCTCCTGACCTCGTGATCTGCCCACCTCGGTCTCCCAAAGCGCTGGGATTACAGGCATGAGCTACCGCGCCCGGCCAGAATTGGCTTTTTTCATTATAGACTACTACAGTAAAATCATCCTAACTGCAGAAGTCACTTGAAATGTGGAAATCACAGTTTGCTATGTATTTGATTTGGTTCAATCTTTTTTTTTGCTTTCTGGGACATCAAAATCAGCCAGCGAGTCTAGGGAAATTTGGACTTAAGGTTTTAATGTTTAGATTTTGAAAAGCCAGGATGCTTATAAAACACTCATTGGTATCATTTACGACAGAGAGAGAGAGAGAAAGGAGAGAGAGAGAGAGTGCGTGTGTGCGTTTATGTGTGTATGTATATCTTGTTTAAAAAACAGTCTGGACTCAGTTTTCTCACCTGGAACATTAGAAATGAAGTGTTAGCTGGGCGTGGTGGCTCACGCCTGTAATCCCAGCACTTTTGGAGACCAAGGTGAGACGATTGCTTGAGCCTAGGAGTTTAAGACCAGCCTGGTCAACATAGGGAGACGCTGTTTCTACAAAAAAAGAAAGGAAAAAAAGCCAGGCATGGTGGCATGAGCCTGTGGGATTCAGCTCCCACCTTGGAAGGCTGAAGTAGGAGGATGGCTTGAGCCTGGGAGGTCAAGGCTGCAGTGAACCAAGATCATGCCACTGCATTCCAGCTTAGACAACAGAGTGAGACTCTGTCTCAGAAAAAAAAAAAAAAATGATACCAACTTTCATATTTGTGGCAAAATGAGATAAATTTACGTAACTGAAAAAGGGAGTCTTTTTTTAATGAATTACTTTATTTCTTTGAGGAAAAATAAAACAGATTTGTAAACTTTGCTCCTGGACTAGAATGCTACTTTGCAGGCAAACTTACTTTTGTAAAAATGCTAGACTCTGGCCAGACATGGTGGCTCACACCCATAATCCCAGCACTTTGGGAGGCCTAGGCCGGTGGATCACCTGAGGTCAGCAGTTTGAGACCAGCCTGGCCTCTGTCGCTATTAAAAAAATACAAAAACAAAAAAATTAGCTGGACGTGGTGGCACACACCTGTAATCCCAGCTACTAGGGAGGTTGAGGCAGGAGAATCACTTGAACCTGGGAGCTGGAGGTTGCAGTGAGCCGAGGTGTCACCACCACACTCCAGCCTGGGTGACAGAGTGAGACTTGGTCTGAAAAAAAAAAAAAGCTAGACTCCACATTCTTTAAAAAAAAAAAACAACTTTGCTAAGATATAATTCACCAATGTAAAGTGTACAATTCATTGGTTTTTAGTATAATCACAGAGTTGTGCAGCTGTTATCACCATCAATTATAGAACATTTTCATTACCAACCCCCCCCCCCCAAAAAAAAATCTCGTGTCTATTAGCAGTTGCTACTTGTTTCCCCCCTACCCCTTTCTCTGCAGGCCCCAGACCTAGACAACCACTAATCCACGATATGTTTCTACAGATAGACTGATTCTAGACATTTCCTATACAGTGTCATTACTAATTCCTTTTATGGGTGGATAATATTCCATTGTATGGATATACATATTTTATTTATCCATTTATCAATTGATGGACAATTGGCTATTGTGAGTAATGTTGCTACGAACATTTGGTTACAACTTTTTGTGTGAATATGTTTTCATTTCATATGGTAACTGTTTAACCTTGTGAGGAACTGCCAGTTTTCCAGAGTGGCTACACCATTTACCTTCCTACCAGCAGTGTATGAGAATTCCAATTTCTCTATATACACTTAGACTTGTTATTTATCAGTGTACTGAGTTTTGATCAAAAATAGTGTACCTGTGTAGTGTGGTTAAATCATGTTGACCTCACTCTCTTTCATCTAGCCTCTTAAAATATCAATACTAAGACTTATAAAATGAGCATATGAAAACCAGTAACTTTCCTTCCTACAGATTGAAAATACTCAATCAGAAAGTATATTCAAAGAAAATATTTAATCCACAGTAGCGACATAAAAATAGGTTTTAAAAAAAATCTAGTAATAAACCTTAGAGAAATTTGAAGAAACTATATAAAGAAACAAGAAACTCAATTGAGTGTCATAAAACGAAACTTGAATGAATGGTTTGGGAAAAAGCAACATTATACAAAGTGAATTCCCTGCATATCAATCTGTGAAGAAAACATTTCTCCCAAATTTCCAACAGGATTTTAAATCTGACAAAAATTTCATCAGGAAAAATAAATGCTCAACAATAAACAGGAAAATTTTGAAAAAGAAAGTTTGGAAAGAGAAGACTTTTCCTAATGTTGTATACAGGAATAGTAACAACTGAGAGAAAATATTTGCAACATTTACAACAAAGGATTACTATCTCTATTGTACAATAAATGCCAAGAAGAAATAGATGAAAAATCTACATAATGAGGTATAAATAGTCAATTCATAAATAACAGGCTCAAAAATCACTAATAATTAAAGAAGTTTTGAAATATTAAAGTGAGACATTACTTTTCACCTATTGGACTGGAAAATACAGAATTTAGTAATTATCTCTAAGAAATTAGGGCCAGGTGTGGTGGCTCACACCTGTAATCCCAGCACTTTGGGAGACCAAAACAGGTGGATCACTTGAGGTCAGGAGTTCAAGACCAGCCAGGCCAACATGGTGAAACCCTGTCTCTACTAAAAATACAAAAACTAGCTGGGCATGGTGGTGGGCGCCTGTAGTCCTAGCTACTCAGGAGGCTGAGGCAGAAGAATTGCTTGAACCCAGGAAGTGGAGGTTGCAGTGAGCCGAGATCACGCCACTGCACTCCAGCCTGGGCAACAACAAGACTGTCTCAAAAAAAAAAAAGAAATTAGGAAAGATTGGCCGGGTGCGGTGGCTCACGCCTGTAATCCCAGCACTTTGGGAGGCCGAGGTGGGTGGATCCTGAGGTCAGGAGATCGATACCATCCTGGCTAACACAGAGAAACCCTGTCTCTACTAAAAATACAAAAATTAGCCAGGCGTGGCGGCGTGTGCCTGTAGTCCCAGCTGCTGGGGAGGCTGAGGCAGGAAAATGGCATGAACTTGGGAGGCGGAGCTTGCAGTGAGCCGAGATTGCGCCACTGCCCTCCAGCCTGGGTGACAGAGCGAGACTCCGTCTCAAAAAAAAAAAAAAGAAATTAGGAAAGATACCCTGTTGGTTGAATGAATGTATGTGTCATAACTCTTTTGGAGGACAGTTGGAAATACTTGGCCAAATTTTAAATGGGCAGACTTTTTTTTGTTAATTTTTTACTTTAATTTTAATGGATACATAGTAGGTGTATGTGTTTATGGGGTACATGAGCTATTTTGATGCAGGCATACAGTGCATAATCATGTTGCGTAAATGGGATATTCATCACCTCAAGCATTTATCATTTATTTGTGTTACAAATATTCCAATTATACTCTTTTAGTTATTTTTAAATATACAATAAATTTTGTTGACTGTAATTACCCTGTTGTGCTATCAAGTACTAGATCTTTTTTTTCTTTTTTACTTTTTCTAACCTTTTTTTTTTTCTGAGACAGTGTCTCACTCTTGCTCAGGCTGGAGTATAGTAGCATGATCACAGCTCACTGCAGCCTTGACCTCCCATGCTCAAGCAGTCCTCCTGCCTCAGCCTACTGAGACTACAGGCTTGAGCCACCATTCCTGGCTGTTTTTTAAAATTTTTTGTAGAGATGGAGGTCTCACTGTGTTGCCCGGGGTGGTCTTGAACCAAATACTAGATCTTACTCATTCTGTGTGAGTATAGTTTTGTACCCACTCTCCACCACTATCGTTCCCAGCTTCTGGTAGCTATCATTCTACTCTCTATCTCCATGAGTTCAACTGTTTTAATTTTTAGCTTCCACAAATGAGTGAGAACATAAGGTTTGTCTTTCTGTATCTGGCTTATTTCACTTGACACAATGTCTTCCAGTTTCATCCATGTTGTTGCAAGTGACAGGATCTCATTCTTTTTTGTGGCTGAATAGTACTCCCATTGTATTGCTAGACACTTAAGTTGCTTCCAAATCATGGCTATTGTGAATAGTGCTGCAATAAATATGGGAGTGTACATATCTCTTCAATATACTGATTTCCTTTCTTTTGGGTGTATATCTAGTGGTGGGATTTCTGGATCATATGGTAGGTGTGTGTTTAGTTTTCTGAGAAATCTCTATACTGTTCTCCATAGTGACTGTACTAAAGTACATTCCCACCAACAGCATGTGAGGGTTCCCTTTTCTGCATATCCTTTCCAGCATTTGTTATTGCCTCTCTTTTGGATAAAAACCATTTTAACTGGAATGAGATGATATCTTGATGTAGTTTTGATTTGCAGTTCCCTGATGATCAATGATGTTGAACACCCTTTCATATACCTGTTTGCCGTTTGTATGTCTCCTTTTAAAAATGTCTGTTCAGGAGCCGGGCACAGTGGCTCACGCCTGTAATCCCAGCACTTTGGGAGGTTGAGGTGGGCAGATCTTGAGGTCAGGAAATCGAGACCATCCTGGCTAACATGGTGAAACCCCGTCTCTACTAAAAATCCAAAAAATTAGCCGGGCGTGGTGGCAGGTGCCTATAGTCCCAGCTACTCAGGAGGCTGAGGCAAGAGAATGGCATGAACCTGGGAGGCAGAGCTTGCAGTGAGCCGAGATCGTGCCACTGCACTCCAGCCTGGGCGACAGAGCAAGACTCCATCTAAAATAAAAAAAAATGTCTATTCAGGGCTAGGGATGGTGTCTCACGCTTGTAATCCCACCACTTTGGGAGGCCGAGGCGGGCGGATCACTTGAGGTCAGGAGTTCCAGACCAGCCAGGCCAACATGGTGAAACCCTGTCTCTACTAAAACTACAAAAATTAGCTGGGCATGGTGGCACGTGCCTGCAATCCCAGCTACTTGGGAGGCCGAGGCAGTAGAACTACTTGAACCCAGGAGGCAGAGGTTGCAGTGAGCCAAGATTACGCCACTGCACTCCAGCCTGGGTGACAGAGCAAGATCCGTTTCCAAAAAAAAAAAAGGAAAAATGTCTATTCATATCTTTTGCCCATTATTTAATCAGATTATTAGGTTTTTTTTTTCCTATTGAGTTGTTTGAACTCCTTGTCTATTCTGGTTATTAATCCTTTGTCAGATGCATAGTGTGCAAATATTTTCTCCCATTCTGTGGGTTGTCTCTTCATTTTTTTGATTGCTTTGTTTTGCAGAAACCTAAGTTGATGTGATCCCACTTACCTATTTTTGCTTTGATTACCTGTGATTGCGGGGTGCTACTCAAGAATTACTTGCCTGGACCAGTGTCATGGAGAGTTTCCACAGTTTTTTCTTTTAGTAGTTGCATAGTTTGAGGTTTTGGATTTAAGTCTTTAATTCATTTTGATTTGATTTTTGTATATGGCGAGAAATAGGGGTCTAGTTTCATTCATTCTTCTGCATGTGGATATCTTGTTTTCCCAGCACTATTTATTGACAGTCTTATTTATTGAAGGCTGTCTTTTCCCCAGTGTTATGTTCTTGGCACCTTTGTAAAAAATGAGTTCACTCTAGATGTATGGATTTATTTCTGGGTTCTCTCTTCTGTTCCATCGGTTTATGTGTCTGTTTTTATGCCAGCACCATCCTGCTTTGGTTACTACAGTTTGTAGTATAATTTAAAGGCATAGAATGTGATCCCTCCAGTTTTGTTCTTTTTGTTCAGGCTAGCTTTGGCCATTCTGGGTCTTTTGTGGTTCCATATAAATTTACAATGATTTTTTTCTATTTCTGTGAAGAATGTTATTGGTATTTTGATAGGGATTACACTGAATCTGTAGATTGCTTTCAGTAGTATGGACATTTTAACAGTATTGATTCTTCCAATCCATGAACATGGAATATCTTTCCTTTTTTTTTTTTAATGTGTATGTCTTCTTCAGTTTCTTGTATCAGTATTTTATGATTTTCATTGTAAAGAAAGAGATCTTTCACTTTTTTTTTTTTTTTTTTTTTTGAGACAGAGTTTCACTTTTGTTGCCCAGGCTGGAGTGCAATGGCACGATCTCAGCTCACTGCAACCTCCACCTCCCGGGTTCAAGTGGTTCTCCTGCCTCAGTCTCCCGAGTAGCTGGGATTACAGGGATGCACCACCATGCCTGGCTAATTTTGTATTTTTAGTGGAGACGAGGTTTCTCCATGTTAGTCAGGCTGGTCTCGAACTCCTGACCTCAGGTGATCCTCCCACCTCGGCCTCCCAAAGTGCAGGGATTACAGGTGTGAGCCACCGCGCCTGGCTGAGATCTTTCACTTCTTTTGTGATACTTATTCATAGGTATTTTTTTATTTGCAGTTACTGTAAATGGAATTACTTTTTTGATTACTTTTTCAGATTATTTGCTGTGGCATATAGAAATGCTACTGATTTTTGTGTGGTGATTTCATATCCTTCGACTTTACTGAATTAGTTTATCTGTTCTAATAGTTTTTTTGTGGAGTCTTTAGGTTTTTCCAAATATATAAGATGATATCATCTGCAAACAAGGATAATTTGACTTCTTCTTTTCTAATTTGGATGCCCTTTATTTCTTTCTCTTGTCTCATTGCTCTAGCTTGGACTTCCATTACTATGTTGAATAATAGTGGTGAAAGTGGGCATCCTTGTCTTGTTCCAAATCTTAGAGAAAGACTTTCAATTTTCTCCCATTCAGTATGATACTAGGTGTGGGTCTGTCTTATATGGCTTTTATCGTGTTGAGGTATGTTCCTTCTATCCCCAGTTTTTTTTGGATTTTTGTCATGAAGGGATGTTGAATTTTACCAAATGCTTTTTTTAGCATCAATTGAAATGATAGTATGATTTTTGTCCTTTATTCTGTTGTATCATGTTTTATTCTGTTCTATCATGTGATATATCACGTTGATTGATTTGCATGTGTTGAACCATCCTTGCATCCCTGGAACAAATTCCAGTTGGTCATGATGAATGATCTTTTTAATGTGTTGTTGAATTCAGTTTGCTAGTGTTTTGTTGAGGATTTTTGCATCAATGTTCATCAGAGATATTGACCTGTAGTTTTCTCTCTTTTTGACATATTTGTCTGGTTTTAGTAATACTGATGAGTATTACTGGGTCTTAGAATGAGTTTGAAACTATTCCCTCCTCCTCCATATTTTGGAATATTTTGAGTAGGATTGGTATTAGTTTTTCTTTAAATGGCACTGAAGCCATTGGATCCTGGGCTTTTCTTTGCTGAGAGACTTTTTATTATGGCTTCGATCTCATTACTTGTTAGTACTCTAGTCAGGCTTTGGATTTCTTCATGGTTCAATCTTGGTAGGTTGTATGTGTCTAGGAATTTATCCATTTCTTCTAGGCTTTCTGATTTGTTGGCATATAGTTGCTCATCGTAGCCTCTAATGATCCTTTGAGTTTCTGCAGTATTAGTTGTATTGTCTCCTTTTTCATCTGTGATTTGATTTCTTTGGGTCTTGTATCTTTTATTTTTAGTCCGGTTAAAGGTTTGTTGATACTATTTGTCTTTTCAAAAAAATCAAGTTTACATTTTGTTGATCTTTTGTGTGTTTTGTTTCAATTTCATTCATTTCTGCCCCGATCTTTATTACTTCTTTTCTTCTACTAATTTTGTGTTTGGTTTGCTCTCGCTTTTCTTGTTCTTTAAGATGCATCATTAGTTTGTTCATTTAGCGCCTTTCTCCTTTTTTTGATGTGGGCACTTATTGCTTGCTATAAACTCACCTCTTAGTACTGCTTTCACTGTATCCCATTGGTTTTGGTAGTAGTTGTGTTTCTATTTTCATTTTTTTCAAGAAATTTTTCAATTTTTTTCTTAATTTTGTATTGACCCCCTGCTTAATAAGGGGCATATTGTTAACTTTCATGTGTTTTTGTAGTTCCCAAAGTCCATCTTGTTACTGATTTCTAGTTTTGTTCCATTGTGGTCAGAGAAGATACTTGTTAGTTTTTGTAGGTTAGTAACAATATTTGGATTATACTAAGGAGTTTTTATCTAGAGTTATAGAGATTTTCTTAGAATGCTGCCATGGTAGAGAATAAGTGGGTGGGTATATAGGGGAAAACAACATTTTGAAATATGTTTCAAATTTTCCAGATTAAACAGTTAAAAAGAACAGGTGGTGAACCTAGAGAATAGTGTTTTAGAAACCGAGACACAGGATTTCTTAATAGTGGGCAACTTTGTCAGGGACTGCAAGAGAGATCACCTAGAATAAGGACTGAAAAGATGTCATAGGTTTCAGCAGCTGGTTTCATGACCTTTGCAACCGCAGTTTTGGTGGAGTGTTTGGGCTAAAACCTGGCAGCAGCATTTTGAGAAATGTGTGGAAGGTAAGAACATGGAGAAAGGATATGATCACTATGTGAAAAAAAGTTGTTTCATTATAAAAGATTACAAACTTATGATTTTTAAAATATTAAAGAGAAGTATGAAGTGAAAAAAAACCCTGCCCCTTTTCCTTTCTCATCTTCTCACCTGTTTCCTCCAGTTTTAGTCTCTAGTTTTACTCTTGAGATTTGTGGCTACTGAATGAATGGAGTGTCAATCTGAATGGGAAAGAGAATTTTTTTTTTTTTTTTTTTGAGACAAAGTCTCGCTCTTGTTGCCCAGGCTGGAGTGCAATGGTGTGATCTCGGTTCGCTGCAACCTCCGCCTCCCAGGTTCAAGCGATTCGCCTGCCTTAGCCTCCTGAGTAGCTGGGACAACAGGCACGTGCCACCACGCCCAGCTAATTTTTGTGTTTTCGTAGAGACGGGGTTTCACCATGTTGGCCAGGCTGGTCTCAAACTCCTGACCTCAGGCGATCCACCCACCTTGGCCTCCCAAAGTGCCGGGATTCCAGGTGTGAGCCACTGCACCTGGCCTGAAAGAGGTTTTTGAGAGGGAGACTCAGAAACGCCTTTGCCTGAGAAGAGCTAGGAAATAGAAGGAAAGAAAAAAATGGAACAGAGGAGCTCAGAGAAGATAAAAGGAAGTAGGGATGCAGTGGTCAAGTGGGAGAAAAAAAAGGAGAGGCACTCTTTTCTTTGAGTAGCCAGGAAAAAATGACTTTGTTTTTCTTTCTCAATTAGCAGACCAAGCTGTATGCTGGTGATTGAGGTTTGGATAGGGTTGGTGGCATCTAGTGTGTAGTAACTATGGGAATTAGCAAATCAATGGCAGAGTGAAGGACTCACTTTCACTCGCTCAGGTCCAAACTAGGCTTTAAATGACTTCTTTTTTTTTTGAGACAGTCTTGCTTTGTTGCCCAGGGTGGAGTTCAGTAGCACAATCTTGACTCACTACACCCTCTGCTTCCTAGGTTCAAGCGATTCTTCTGCCTTAGCCTCCCGAGTAGCTGGGACTGCAGGCACACACCACTGTGCCTGGCTAATTTTTGTATTTTTAGTGGAGATGGGCTTTCATCATGTTGGCCAGGCTGGTCTCGAACTCCTGACCTCAACCCGCCTGCCTCGGCCTCGCAAACTGTTGGGATTACAGGCCACCACACCTGGCCTGAATGACTTTTTCACTGAGGAATGCCATAGTCCAGGCAGATGTGCCACCTCATTGATCGCCAGGGATGACTCAGTTGTCTGGCTAGTTGGGTAAGGGAGGTGTTTTTTCCATCACTTCTGTGTGTCTGTTACTAAAACTGTTCATTTATATTTCACAGCAGCTCAAGTGCAACTGTTCTTCAGTACTTTTGTAGCTTTTCATTTCTGTGACTCCTTTGAGGAGGCTCTGTCATGTGAAAGGAAAAATTTGATAAAATGATTACATGGAGACTTCTAACTAATCGTATTGTGGCAATGGAACTACTTTCACTTCCTCTTTTAAAGAAACAGGTAACAGAAAGCCTCCTCTTTAGACTTTCCCATTAGACACATAGCAGTGACAATTTAAACTGTGGTCAGTAGCCAGGCATGGTGGTGCACTTCTGTAGTCCCAGCTATTTGGAAGGCTGAGGCAGGAGAATCGCTTGAACCCAGGAGGCGGAGGTTGCAGTGGGCCAAGATAACACCATTGCACTCCAGCCTGGGCAACAAGAGCCAAACTCCATCTCAAAAAAAAAGAAAAAAAATGTGGTCAGGAATAGATTCTGTTTGCTGTATTTGGGATATATACAATGTTAAGAACAAAATGGCCAGGTGTGGTGGCTCATGCCCATAATTCCAGCACTTTGGGAGGCCCAGGCGGGAGGATTGCTTGAGCCCAGGAGGTCGAGGCTGTAGTGAGCCGTGATCATGTCACTGCATTCAGCCTTGAGTGACAGAGTGAGACCCTGTCTCACCAAAAAAGAAAACCAAAGAACAAAATTTTATATCTATATACATTGGTGTCTGTGAACCTCATGTGGTATTTTTATGCAAATAGAAATGGAAGTTATATGTTACCTACTTCAGAAAATTGAATTGTCTAAATAAATATCTAAATATTTGTCCTTAGGCCAGGCACGGTGCTTCACGCCTATAATCCCAGCACTTTGGGAGGCCGAGGCAGGCGGATCACCTGAGGTCAGGAGTTCAAGACCAGCCTGGACAACATGGTGAAACCCTGTCTCTACTAATACAAAAATTAGCTGGGTGTGGTGGCACACACCTGTAATCCCAGCTACTCGGGAAGCTGAGGCAGGAGAATCGCTTGAACCTGGGAGGCAGAGGTTGCAGTGAGCCAGGATCATGCCACTGCACTCCAGCCTGGGTGGCAAGAGCAAAACTCTGTCTCCAAATAATAATAATAATAAGTAAATAAATATTTGTCCTTGTCATATATTTGTTTATAAATATGAGATTATTTTTTCTAAAAATTTACATTATGAAATTTGTTTAGTAATCATCACATTTAGGGGTTTTAAAGTGACCTTTACTTTACTTTTGTGTTTTTTAGGAGACCCGTGTACAGTATCATCTCAGTTGGAGTTAGAAGAAGCCTTTAGACTTTATGAGCTAAACAAGGATTCTGAACTCTTGATTCATGGTAAGAGAGTAGTCATTTCATACTCGTCCAGACTGATAATTTCTTTGAAATCACTCTTTATTCTTCACCATTTTGAAACATAATCTTAATGTCATTTTCTCAATCTCTGTGACTCATGCCTAAGTAATTGTCGTTATTTAGTAGTTTCTCACGTGCTACAGAAGGTAAAATTAATCTGCTGCTTATAGTCTGGGGAATTTTGTGGTCTCTGTATGTCTTGTTGGATATTAAAATGTGATATCTCAGTGTATCACAGCAAATTTATGATAGAACTTAAAAATTGAGAGCCTGGGGAATCTAAGTCATCTACTTGAAATTTTGTTATGTATACAAATAATGACCTCCAAAGGTAAGGTATCTTAAATATCCTTTCTTTTGCTTAAAGGTTAATAGTGAAACTATTTACATGATTCCTTTATTTTTGAGACAGTCTCACTCTGTCACCCAGGTTGGAGTACAGTGGTATGATCTCGGCCCACTGCAACCTCTGCCTCCTGGGTTCAAGCATCTCAGCCTCCCAAGTAGCTGGGATTACAGGTGTGCACCACCATGGCTGGCTAATTTTTATATTTGTAGTAGAGACAGGGTTTCACCATGTTGGCCAGGCTGGTCTCGAACTCCTGGCCTCAAGAGATCCGCCTGCCTTGGTCTCCCAAAGCACTGAGATTACAGGCATGAGCCACTGCACCAGGCCCATTTACATGATGCTTTAGAGACATTAATATGTTTATACCTCAGCAACCTTGAGATGTAGGAAGTGGCATAGAAGAAGTAACCTAAACTCAGTTATCATTGTAACTGGCACGTTGTAGACCTGGATTGTGAATCTAGGAATTCTGATTCCAAATTTGTGTTTCATTCAACTATGCTAACCATCAAAAGTCATGTAAAACTTTTTTTTTGTTTGTTTTTTTGAGGCAGTTTCTCTCGCTCTGTTGCCCAGGCTGGAGTGCATTGGTGCAGTCATAGCTCACTGCAGCCTTGACTTCCCAGGTTCAAGCGATCCTCCCACCTCAGCCTCCTGAGTAACTGAGACCACAGGCACTGCCGCACCACTATGACTGGCTAATTTTTTTTTTTTTTTTTTGTATAGATCGGATATCACTATGATGCCCAGGCTGGTCTCAAACTCCTGTGCTCAAAGAGTCCTACCACCTGGGCCTCCCAAAGTGCTGGGATTAGAGGTGTGAACCACCATGCCCAGCCAAGAACCTCTTAATATACTGCATTTAATTGCAATATATTGACAGTATTTCGTTGAACATTTTTGAGAGCTATGAGACCAGACTTAGGAATCTTCTAAAAAAGTGAAACGAATGTAAATCTTTCCTTAAGTATAATGAATCATTTCAGTGCCTTATTATTATTTCTTTGTATTTTCCTTTACAGTGTTTTTTTTTTAAAAAAAAAAAAAAAACAGTGGTTTGATTTTATATTTTATTTGAGACACAGTTTCACTCTGTTGCCCAGGCTAGAGGGCAGTGGCACAGTCTCAACTCACTGCAACCTTGGCCTCCTGTGTTCAAGTGATTCTCATGCCTCAGCCTCCAAAGTACTTGGGATTACAGGCGCCTACCACCATGCCCAGCTAATTTTTGTATTTTTAGTAGAGATGGGGTTTCACCATGTTGGCCAGGCTGGTCTCGAACTCCTGACCTCAGGTGATCTGCCTGCCTTGGCCTCCCAAAGTTCTGGGATTACAGGCGTCAGCCACTACGCCTGACCTGATTTTTTTCTACCTCCAGAATTTGACATAGTGACTCACAAGGGATCCATAATGTACTTTGTTGAGATTCTAAAAGAGCTTTAAGAGTCTATTTTTTTTGTCATCTCTTTCCAGAATAAAATTACAATGAATGCATAAAGAAGTGATTGATGAATGGTATTAAACAGTCAGTTTTAAGTCTTATTGCCTTTTAATACTACATCACAGATGTTTTCAGAAGCTAGCTTACGTTTCAGCTTTTAAAAATATGCATTAGGAACTGTGCTTCCTATAGTCTGTGCTCTTTATTAAACTGTGTCCTTTAGTACATCACAGACTAAGAATAGCTGACTAGATATTCATAAATACATTGTTGCTTTATATTCTACCTTGTTATAAAAATGGTTTTAATTAGTATATACATTTAAAGTTTCTAATGTAAATTTACATTTTTGATTTTGGTACTGTTTCTGGTGTTAATTTATTCCTAAGTTTAGTATACATCTTTTAAAAACCAATATTTTATGTTCCATATTTGTATACATTTTTGTAATTTAATTTTCATCCTTCATTGTGACAAACTTGTCCTACTATACCAAGGATTTAAGGCGATATTAGTTAATGATTTCTTTAAGGATAAGAAAATAATTCATGATGTAACAGGGACTGGAATTAGTCATTTGAGCTTCTGATGCATTGGTTTTTTTGTTTTGTTTTGTTTTTGTTTTTGTTTCTGAGATGGTGTCTCATTCTGTCACCTGGGCTGGAGTGCAGTGGCATGATCTCAGCTTACTGCAACCTTCGCCTCCCAGGTTCAAGTGATTCCCGGGCCTCAGCCTCCTAGGGAGCTGGGATTACAGGCACATCACCATGCCAGGCTAATTTTTTTTGTATTTTTTGGTAGAGACAGAGTTTTACCATGTTGGCCAGGCTGGCATCCCCTGACCTCAAGTCATCCACCCACCTTGGCCTCCCAGAGTGCTGAGATTAGAGGCGTAAGCCAACGTGCCCAGCCTAATGCATTGTTTATAGACATGTTTGTTTTCATAAGAACTTTTTTCTTTCTTTCTTTTTTTTTTTTTTTTTTAACATCAACAAAGCAAGGCAAATAAAACCTTCTTTTGTGGCCGGGCGCGGTGACTCACGCCTGTAATCCCAGCACTTTGGGAGGCCGAGACAGGCGGATCATGAGGTCAGGAGATCGAGACCATCCTGGCTAACACGGTGAAACCCCGTCTCTACTAAAAATACAAAAATTAGCCGGGCATGGTGGCGCGTGCCTGTAGTCCCAGCTACACGGGAGGCTGAGGCAGGAGAATGGCGTGAACCCGGGAGGCGGAGCTTGCAGTGAGTCGAGATCGCGCCACTGCACTCCAGCCTGGGCGACAGAGCGAAACTCTGTCTCAAAAAAAAAAAAAAACCTTCTTTTATATGGCCTTGGTAAAATGAATCCCTTTGGCAAATAATATTGATCACATGCTAAGTATCTTGTCTCAAGTGAAGAGAGGGTCAGGTTGAAATCTGGGTCAGTTTCTTTTACATTTGAATTTTAAATTCTGTGTAATTTGTATGTTTTAAATATGCTGTTAACTCATGTTCGTTTATTTTCTTTCAGTGTTCCCTTGTGTACCAGAACGTCCTGGGATGCCTTGTCCAGGAGAAGATAGTGAGTGTTTATATACTTCATACCTTTTACAAGAGTTACTATGCTATGGTACAAGTGAAAAAGAAATCAGAGATAGAATTTTTAGCTAGGTGCAGTGGACAGTGGCTAATGCCTGTAATCCCAGCACTGTGGGAAGCTGAGGTGGGAGGATCGCTTAAGCCCAGGAGTTCAAGACCAGCCTGGGCAACAAAGTGAGACCTTGTCTTTCCAAAAACACACAAAAAAATTAGCATGGTGTGTGCCTATAATCTCAGCTACTTGGGAGGTTGAGGTGGGAGGATCCCTTGAGCCCAGGAGTTTGAGGCTACAGTGAGCCAAGGTCGCACTACTTGCACTCTAGTGTGGGTGACAGAGACAGGCCTTGTCTCAAGGGGAAAAAAAAAAAGGAAATAGAAGTTCTAATTCATTTGATTTCTTTTCCATTTTTCAGTCAATTTAGAATATATTAGTGACTGCCCAAATGCTACTTTGCCAGATCAAATTCAGATAGTTCTTAGTTACAACTTACATGATTGCCTGTTGCACATATGAAAGGAATATTAAGTTAAATTTAAGTTTTAAAATTCAATTTTGGAAATGTTCAAACCTATACAGAAGTTGAAACAACATGGAAAACAAGGATACCTATATATCCTTTGCCCAGATTTACCAATTTTTAACGTTTTCCCTGTTTGCTTTATCTCTGTATCTGTCTATATCTCATATATGCATGCACAGTTATACATAACAAACACATTTTTTTTTTTTTGGTTATACCACTTGAGACTGACATGACACTCAGCACATGTAATTAGGAATTGGCTTTTTTTTTTTCTGCAGTGTTTTTTACTTAAACAGGTATTAAGTCACTTTTGTTGTTGTTGTTTTTGAGACAGAATCTCGCTTTCTCACCCAGGCTGGAGTGCAGTGACGCAATCTTGGCTCATTGCAACCTTCACCTCTGGGGTTCAAGCAATTCTCCTGCCTCAGCCTCCTGAGTACCTGGGATTACAGGCGCCAACACCATGCTCAGCTTATTTTTGTACTTTTAGTAGAGTTGAGGTTTCACCATGTTGGCCAGGCCGGTGTCGAACTACTGACCTCAGGTGATCCACCTGCCTCAGCCTCCCAGAGTGCTGTGATTACAGGTGTGAGCCACTGCACCTGGCCCCAAGTCACTTATTAAATGTCTTTAAATATTGCAGACTTCCTACAGTTGACCCAGAGAAATGTGTATATTTATTAGATCTCCAATTCCTAGTAACTTCAGGTAACCAACCAGAGTCCACAGTGGAACGGTGATTCTTACCCTTGGACACATTAAAATTGTGGGATGGAGGGAATGATCAATGCCAAATTTCCATCCCCAAGCTTAATGAATTAGTGTGGAGGTGAAATCTGGATATCTTTGTATTTTAAAATGGACTCTCAAAATGTAGCCATTGGGTCCCACAGCATCAGCTTCACCTGAGAACTGAATAGAAACTGCACTCCAGGCTGGGTGCAGTGGCTCATGCCTGTAACCCTAGCACTTTGGGAGGCTGAGGCAGGCAGATCACCTGAGGTCAGGAGTTCAAGACCAGCCTGGCCAACATGGTGAAAGCCCATCTCTACTAAAAATACTAAAAAAGTTAGCTGGGTGTGGTGGTGCATACCTGTAATCCTAGCTACCTGGGAGGCTGAGGCAGGAGAATTGCTTGAACCTGGGAAGCGGAGGTTGCAGTGAGCTGAGGTCGCGCCAGTACATTCCAATCTGGACAACAGAGCGAGACTCTGTCTCAAAAAAAAAAAAAAGAAAAAAACTGCACTCCAATCTACGTGATTCATAAACTCTTGGACTGGGGCTGAGCTACCAGATTTAACAAGCTCTTCAGGTGATTCTGATGCACACTAAAGTTTGAGAACCACCATTTAAAAGCTTCCCCAGGTCAGGAATTGTTAACGGAATTTCTTTGGAATATCTAAGCCAATGGTTACTATTAATGAGATGAACTAAGAGTGTCCAACTACTCTTTGTTCTAATGTAATTTAATATGCAAACTTATGTTTGATTGTAAGTTATTGCTTTTGGTATTTTGGCATAATTTACTAATTGTGGATATTAGGCAACTCATTTTCATTTGTGGTTTCTGCACATGCCCATCACTTTAGAAGGAATAGTGGTAAATGCTTTGCTTTGAATTAATCGAAATAGCTCTAAACTTTCTTTTTCTTTTTTTTTTTTTTGAGATGGTCTTGCTCTGTCGCCCAGGCTGGAGTGCAGTGGCGAGAACTCGGCTGACTGCAAGCTCTGCCTCCTGGGTTCATGCCATTCAGCCTCCTGAGTAGCTGGGATTTTAGGTGCCCACTACCACGCCCGTCTAATTTTTTTTTTTGTATTTTTAGTAGAGATGGGGTTTTGTATTTTTAGTAGAGTGCTAGCCAGGATGGTCTCAATCTCCTGATCTTGTGATCTGCCCACCTCGGCCTCCCAAAGTGCTGGGATTACGGGCGTGAGCCACCGCGCCCGGCCTAAACTTTCAATTCTGTATTAAGCTATCCTGAGATTTCTAATTGAGAGCATTGCAACTGGTCTTTAGTATCTTAATTTTAAATAGTAAACCCATTGCTATATTTGCTTTAAAATATGACTTTGGGAACCTGTTGTAATCTTTCTATGGTATTAACTATTACTGTTATTACCATTACTGTGGGATGTTATTATTAATGACTAATAGACAATATATAAAATAATGATGGACTTAAAAATATGAAGGTGGACTAGATTTGATCGTTTGGAACCTCTTTCTCTAACTATATTTGAGAAACATATTAATATAAAGACCACTGGATGAAAAGTTGTTGGGGAAAAAGATATGCTTCTGGTACAAAATATCACTTTACAGATTAGTTACAAAGACTGAAATGTACCTTTACAATGAAGAGATCTAGCAGTCACTACCTTTAATGGTTATTGAACATCAGTAGTGGGAGTTGATAATCCGACATTTGTGTACCTCATGAAAAGTAATGAGATAAGAAATACACAACACTACCTATGTGTTATTTTTGCCAAAGGTATTTAATACTGCCTCTAATCGTAAGTAAACAGACAAATCCAGAATGTGGGATATAATATGAAACAACTAACCAGACTCTTTAAAAAAAAAAAAAAGTCAACATAATGAAAAGGAAGTAACAACAAATAAGGCAGAGTGAATGTTTTAAAATGTTAAGGAGACCAAAAAAAGCATGATCAAATGCAGTCCCTGAATCTTGATTGCATCCTGGATAGAAAAAGTGAGCTTTGAAAGTCACTTTGGGGCCTGGCATGGTGGCCCATGCCTGTAATCCCAGCGCTTTGGGAGGCTGAGGCAGACAGATCACCTGAGGTCAGTAGTTTGAGACCAGCCTGGCCAACGTGGCAAAACCCCATCTTTACTAAAAATACAAAAATTAGCCGGGTGTGGTGGTGTGTACCTGCAATCCCAGCTACTCGGGTGGCCGAGGCAGGAGAATTGCTTAAACCCAGGAGGCGGAGGTTGCAGTGGGCTGAGATTGCACCACTGGACTCCAGCCTGGGTGATGGAGTGAGACTGTGTCTCAAAAAAGAAAGTCACTTTGAGACCAGTTAGGGAAGTTTGTATATGAATTGTATACTGGTTGATATTGAATTAATGTTGATTTTCTAAGACATGGTAAATGGTATTGTGGTTAGGTAGAATTGGGTGGCGGGGGGGTGCGGAATATCCTTAATCTCAGACAATGGATACTTGGGTATTAAAGGGTATTTAAGTGCCATGATGTCTGCATTTTACTTCCAAGTAATTCAGAAAAAAAAAAGTATTTTTTTTGTAGTGATGAAAGTAAATATGACAAAACATGAATAATTGGTAAATCTCGGTGAAAGATGCAGGTGTCTATTCTTTTACCTTTTCTGTGGGATTAAAAGATGTTCAAAATAAAAAGTTGGAGGAAAATTTTTAAAAAGAAAAGCAGTAGTAGGCCGGGCGCGTTGGCTCACGCCTGTAATCCCAGCACTATGGGAGGCCGAGGCGGGCGGATCATCTGAGGTCGGGAGTTCAAGGCCAGCCTGACCAACATGGAGAAACCCTGTCTCTACTAAGAATACAAAATTAGCTGAGCATGGTGGTGCATCTCTGTAATCTCAGCTACTTGGGAGGCTGAGGCAGGAGAATCACTTGAACCCGGGAGGTGGAGGTTGCAGTGAGCTGAGACTGTGCCACCGCACTCCAGCCTGGGTGACAGAGCAAGACTCCATCTCACCAAAAAAAAAAAAAAAAAAAAGGACAAGCAGTAGGCAGTAGTAGTCAAATATTTATACTCTGTGGTCTTTATTTTTCTTTGGTCCCTTGATGAATCTATTTTATTTTTTGACGTTCAGGTTTTTATCAGTATTTTTTTTTCTTGCAGTGAGTATCATGAAAAAATTACAGACTTAATTATAAAATGATTTTTACTCAAACTTGCTCTTTTTTCTTTTTTTAACTATTACTCTGTCTTCAGAATCCATCTACCGTAGAGGTGCACGCCGCTGGAGAAAGCTTTATTGTGCCAATGGCCACACTTTCCAAGCCAAGCGTTTCAACAGGGTAAACATAGTTTGTTGAATGTCGATAATGTGAAACAGCTATTTTTTCCCTTTCTACTATGAAAGAAAGGTAGTTTGTTATTAAGTCTTGTTATACACTTTTAAATACATAAGTAGCATGACCTTACATTTCCAGTTTGCCTGAGGCAGTATGCCTATAATTTTTAATAGCATCTCTTTCACTCTTAAAAATGCTCCAGGCCAGGTGTGGTGGCTCAGGCCTATAATCCCAGCACATTGGGAGGCCAAGGCTGCCGGATCAGTTGAGGCCAGGAGTTCATACCAGCCTGGCCAACATGGCAAAACCTTATCTCTATTAAAAATACAAAAATTAGCCAGGTGCAGTCACATGCACCTGTAGTCCCAGCTACTCGGGAGGCTGAGGCAGGAGAATCACTTGAGTCTGGGAGGCAGAGGTTGCAGTGAGCCGAGATTGTGCCACTGCACTCCAGCCTGGGCAATGGAGCAAGACTCAGTTTCAAAAAAAAAAAAAAAAAGCTCCAGATTGGATGATTAATTATTCCACATAATATACCCTAGCTGTAAGAAAATTGAATTTTAAAATATAATTTAAGGCAACCAGAAAACAAGCAAGGTTTATTTATTTAATATTAATCTTTATTTTTCCAGTTAGTGTTGTAATTTGATTTTCACTGTTTAGAAAATAATAATAGCAAACACTTATCTGGGTTGTACTACGTACCAGGCACTTTTCCAAATGCCTTATATACATTGATTCATTTCATCCTTACAACAACCCTGTAAGATAGGTACTATATGTTTCCACTTTATAGATGGCAAAACTCAAGTGCAGGGCAGTAACTTGCCCAAGATAATACAGCTAGTAAGTGATAGAACCAAAGTTTGAAAGCAGCAGTCTGTCTTCAGAAGTCAGTTATTCATTTATTATTTATTTATTTTTTTTTTATTTTAAAGACAGAGTCCCGCTCTATCGCCCAGGCTGGAGTGCAATGGCACAGTCTCAGCTCACTGCAACCTGCATCTCTTGGGTTCAAGCGATTCTTGTGCCTCAGCCTCCTGAGTACCTGGGACCACAGGCATCAGCCAACAGGCCTGGCTATTTTTTGTATTTTTAGTAGAGATGGAGTTATACCTTGTTGGCCAAGCTGGTCTCAAACTCCTGACCTCGCGTGATCCGTCCGCCTCGGCCTCCCAAAGTGCTGGGATTACAGGCTTGAGCCACCATGCCTGGCCAGAAACGAATTTTTTAAATACTCTTGATAACCGCAAATTTTTGGATGCCATTTCCATTCTAAAACTAATGCCATGTAATTAATTAATGTAAATAGAAACCACCACCCGAAATCCCTCTCCAAACTCTCTTACTTCCAGTAGCACTGACATTTAAGAAGGCTTTGAGGCTGGGTGCAATGGCACATGCCTGTAATCCCAGCAGTTTGGGAGGCTGCGAAGGGGGAACACTGAAGCCCAGGAGTTTGAGACCAGCCAGGGTAACGTAGTGTGAGATCCCATCTCTACAAAAAATACAATCATTAGCAGGGCATGGTGGCACACACCTGTAGTCCTAGCTACTCAGGAAGCTTGAGCCCAGGACGTTGAGGCTGCAGTGAATCAAAGTGACTCCACTGGACTCCAGCCTGGCTGACAGAGCAAGACCCTGTCTCTTAAAAATAAATAAATAAATAAAAAGAGAGACCAAGTGCGGTGGCTCACACGTGTAATCCCAGCACTTTGGGAGGCTGAGGTGGGTGGATCACCTGAGGTCCAGGAGTTTGAGACCAGCCTGACCAACATGGTGAAACCCCATCTCTACTAAAAATACAAAACTTAGCCAGGTATGGTGGCGCATACCTGTAATCCCAGCTACTCTGGAGGCTGAGGCAGGAGAATCACTTGAACCCGGGAGGCGGAGGTTGCGGTAAGCTGAGATTGTGCCATTGCATTCCAGCCTGGGCAACAAGAGTGAAACTCTGTCTCAAAAAAAAAAAAGAAAGAAAAGAAGAAGAAGGCGGCTTTGAAATGAGAAGTCACTTTAGGTTATTGCTCTTTAAGAAAACAGAGCTTTGTTTTGACCTCTGAACAGCCTGCAAGGTTTATGTTTGCTTAGGAGTCCTTCAATGGCTTTTTCTGCCATATATATTTCTAGTTTAATTCTGTTTTCATTATTTTGAACTTGATTATGTAAAGACTGAAAATTCTTAGACTTAGAAAGAAATGTGGTTGCAGATTTCACTGTCTCTTTAAAATAAGCTCTGTTTTTCGCTGACCTTCATAGCTTTTAAAAAATTATGTATGAGGAAGCTTTGTTTTGCTTTTGTTTTTGTTTTTGTTGTGGGCTGACAGTTGACACCGTGACAAAGGGAATTGAGTCAGCAAACTATTTGGGAAATGGTTATGACCTTCTTGGTTAATAAAATATTGTTGAATTACTCTTTTCAGCGTGCTCACTGTGCCATCTGCACAGACCGAATATGGGGACTTGGACGCCAAGGATATAAGTGCATCAACTGCAAACTCTTGGTTCATAAGAAGTGCCATAAACTCGTCACAATTGAATGTGGGCGGCATTCTTTGCCACAGGTAAGATGTCTGTCCTTTTTTTTTTTTTTTTTTTTAAGAGCGTGCTTGATAACACTGCTATAACAGAGTGCTAAAATAGGGAGGTGTTCAGGAATTACAGCACAACAGAGTAGCTACAGAGTATGGGGAGGAATACCTTACGTTACTGTTAACACACCGTGAACTTTGGAACTTCGAAATATCTGTGGTAATACTTGTCTGTGGGACACAGTTAACTTCTTTACCTGCTGTAAAATCCTCTGGTCTAAATTAGGAAGCTATAGAGAGAACCATTTAAGAGTTTTTTCCCCCTCTCCTTTAATCTGAACGTATTAGTTTATAGCTCACATTATTCTAGCTTCTATCCTAAGCAGATATCAGGTAAGAAGAGTCAAAGGTATCATGTTTGTTATTTAAACTGTGAGATTACTGGCGAGGAAAGCATTTAAAATTTTTATTTATTAATTTCTATTTTAAATATATAAAACATGTTTGTTATCGAAAAAAATACAGAATACAGATGAATAAAGAAAACTAAGTAAAAGTCCACATATATTCTACCATGTAAAGGTAATTGTCATTTGGTGGATATCCTTCCAGAACTTTTCCTGTGCAAATTTATATGCATAAACATTTTTAATTTTCCATATGGAAAAAATGTAAACATGTATAAGAGTAGGTGGAACACTATAATGAACTCCCATTTACTAGACATCCAGCTCCAACAGTTATCAACTCATGTCTAATCTTGGTTTCATCTGTACCCCCATTCACTTAACTTCCCCTTGCCCTGTATTATTTTCAAACAAATCTCAGACATATTTCAGTATGTACCTCTAAAAGAGAAGGACTTTTTTAAAAACCTAACTAAAAAACAAATTCTTTATGTCAAATATCCAGTAAGTGTTCTCATAAATATTATAATTTTGTTTTTATAGTTTTCATTATGAATCAGGATCCAAATGAAATGCACTTGTACAATTGATTGATCTCTTAGATATTCTTTAATTTACTGGTTCTTTCTTCATTTCTCTCTCTTCTTTTTTTCCTTACAATTTAATTGTAAAAGAAACAGTTATTTGTCATTTACACTGTTGTAAAATTTTGCTCATTACTTCTCCATGGTTATGTTCAGTATGTTATTGTCTTCTTTATTCTTTTATCTTGTACAGTAGTTGGATGTCGAGGTTTGATTAGATTCTGGGGTTGGTTTGTTTGTTTTGGTGGATTGTTTTTGAGTCGACTTTACAGAGGGTTGTTTATCCACCAGAAGGCACATGTGCTTGCCTGTGTCTTTTTTGTTATTGTTTTGAGACAGAGCCTCGCTCTGTCTTCCAGGCTGGAATGTAGTGGCACAATCTTGGCTCACTGCAACCTCCACCTCCCAGGTTCAAGTGATTCTCCTGCCTCAGCCTCCCAAGTAGCTGGGATTACAGGTGTGTGCCACCATGCCCAGCTAATTTTTGTATTTTCAGTAGAGATGGGGTTTTTGCCACGTTGGCCAGGCTGGTCTTGAATTCCTGACCTCAGGTGATCCACCTGCCTCGGTCTCCCAAAGTGCTGGAATTACAGGCGTGAGCCACTGCACTTGGCCAATCTTAGTGAACTTTCTGGCAAATCTTACTTCCTTAAGGATCCAGAATTAGAATTACTGGGTTAAAAGATACGCATTTAAAAAAATACCTGGATGCAGCTATCTAAGCACACTGCCTATCGATTAGCCCTGCTCCACAAGGAACAGTCAAAAAAAGAAAGAAAAATACCTGGATGCATCTTTCTAAATTGTCCTTTAGAATTGTTATTCCATGTTTATTCATGGGACTTGCTTTGGACATTGTGAAAGCAGGTTATTACCGGTAGCTCTTTGGTATTAGAATCTTTAATTAGTTCATATAAGCTTAGGAATGGGTTTGTAGTAAAGGGGAAAATCCAATCTTAAGGAAAAACAGAAGGCTGACTATTTCCAACATATTTATGTAGGTTACTATTAATATTTTTGAGTATTCTTTGGTGACATATGGAAGGAAAGGGGGCAGGGTTAGTGATTATATTGAAGTTTTAAAAATCCTTAAGCTTACTTATGAGCCTTTCTTTAACGCAGCCTTGAAATGCTAACTGTATCATTAATGTTCTTTCTCAAGTTTACTTTTTCCTGCTGGTATTCATTAAATGTGAGTCTAAGAATAAATCAGTAATAACTTGGGTTTGAATTTACCTTTTTCCTGAGATTATTCGCCATTATTTGGGTAAGTTGGATTCTAGAAAGTATTTCTTTTCTCTTTTTTGGGGCCACTGACACCCTTGAGAATCTTCAGGAAAATGGGAAACCCACAAAATTTTACATGTAATTTTAAGAGGTTATAGACATCCTGAAGTCTACCCCGGACCCCAGCTAAAGAATGCATATTCCAGAAACTTATTTTTGCCAAAGATCTGAAGTGGAGCTTGAAGGAAGAATAGGTAGTGTTGAAGAGAAGCAAAGCAGAATATATGGCAGTTTAATATGATTTCTAATTGGTGGTCTGAAATTAGTTTTGTATTTTCTTTTCTGTAAAATGTGACTAACATTACCTCATTCACAGCAGTATTGTATAGTTTCATAAAACAAAATTAAAAGTAAATTCTCACTTAAGTTATATTCTTTCAAAATTAAATTTTAATATGCTGTGTGTTGTTGAAATAGTGTTATTTCTGGTGTAATAGAGGTACTCCACTGAGTTACTGTGTCTTTGGAAATGTTTGTAGGAACCAGTGATGCCCATGGATCAGTCATCCATGCATTCTGACCATGCACAGACAGGTAAGAGTGGTGCTGGCACAACCCATTGTTCATTCACAGAGTAGCATGTAAAGACTTACTTAGGTGACTCTCTTACCCAAGTTTAAAAACATTTACTTCTTCCCAATTAAAAGTAAATACATATATTTTGTAGTGGTGAAATCAGTCACACTATTTAACATACACATTTGGCATTTTTAAAAGACAACTGTGGGCTGGGTGCGGTGGTTCACACCTGTAATCCCAGCACTTTGGGAGGCTGAGGCAGGTGGATCACCTGAGGTCAGGAGTTCGAGACCAGCCTGGCCAACGTGGTAAAACCCCGTCTCTACTAAAAATACAAAAATTAGCAGGGTGTGGTGGCACACTCCTGTAGTCCCAGCTTCTCAGGAGGCTGAGGCGGGAAAATCGCTTGAACCCAGAAGTTGGAGGTTGCAGTGAGCCAAGATCATGCCACTGCACTCTAGCCTGGGTGACAGAACAAGACTCCATCTCAAAAAAGAGAGAGAGAAAAAAAAAAGACAACTGTGGGCTGGGTGTGGTGGCTCACGGCTGTAATCTCATCACTTTGGGAGGTCGAGGCAGAAGGATCCCTTGAGCTCAGGAGTTCAAGACCAGCCTGGCCAACACAGGGAGACTCTGTCTCTATTTAAAAAAAAAAAAAGTATGTAAACTACAACAAATGACTATTTTTTCTAGTTCACATAAATTTCTTTTGAGACGCCTTTAAATTCAGCAAACTCAGTTTTTTTCCATAATGAAAAACATGAGGCTGATTTTGTGGCCCATGTTGACTGTGTTCAGGTGACTCGCTTTTTTCTTTTTCTTTCGAGACAGAGTCTTGCTCTGTTGCCCAAGCTGGAATGCAGTGGCGTGATCTCGGCTCACTGCATCCTCCACCTCCCAGGTTCAAGTGATTCTCCTGCCTCAGCCTCCTGAGCATCTGGGATTACAGGTTCATGCCACCATGCCCAGCTAATTTTTTTGTATTTTTAGTAGAGATGGGGTTTCACCATGTTGGCCAAGCTGGTCTCGAATTCCTGACCTCAAGTAATCCACCCGCCTTGGCCTCCCAAAGTGCTGGGATTACAGGCATGAGCCATGGCACCCAGCTGAAGTGACTTGTTTTTATTAAAAGCTTTATTATCAGAAGTAGAAATTATGTGAAACATAGAGAGATGCAATATAGGAAATTCCAGGAAGATGGTGTAACTGAAAACGTTAGATAGATACAAAACCTTAAACACGTATCTGGGAAATTTGGAGAGCAGTGCAAGGAGGTAGAACAGCATGATCTTCTCTGGACTAAATCAAGAAAGGGAAAACAAGGGAGTTTTTCTGGAAAGACAAAATGCAATCTCGTAGTCATAGAATGATCAACTCTATGAAATGCAGGCTCTTTTTTTTTTGCCCCAAGTAGCTTTAAGAAGTAGAAGTTCCATCCTTGTCTGTTCTTTACTTGACCATTGTGGTAGTTAGGAAAATTCTGAGTACAATGGAGTGAGAAGTGAAAACCAGAGGTCCTGTATCTCTATGTCTTAGTCATACTAAAAAATTTAAACATATCTTATAGAGTCATTTGTTTAGAAGGAAGTGTTTGATTAATTTGTAAAGAAGAGAAATGTTTTAAAAATAACGAAAGTACTTGTTAAAAGCAGTACTTGGCTACCAGGTTGTGATGCTTGCTCTCTTTACCCTCACTAAAGATTAGGATTTAACTATTGTATTTACATACAATTTGTTATTAGTAGGACAGATAGTCAGTTTTAAATAATGAAAATTTATTCAGAAGTAAAAACTAAAATAAAAATCAGGAGACAATTTTTATTTCAAACTCATTAATGGTTGCTGTTTTTTTCTCCTGCACCTTTTTTTTTTTTTTTTTTAATGTTTGGTATTGGGTTTTTAGTAATTCCATATAATCCTTCAAGTCATGAGAGTTTGGATCAAGTTGGTGAAGAAAAAGAGGTAAGATAATTTGTCTTATTGTACATTATATCATTAGCTTTTTAATAAGGCTCAGGAGTTTAAAAGTATGACATATTGACCTGCTTAGACTTTAGATCATAATGGTGAAATGCAAAAATGATTTGTAATGATTCCAGAGTTTTATTCTGATTTAATTTAGTAATTAAATTACTAATTTAAACTAGGAAATAATTTAGTGGGATAACTTATTTTCATTTTAAAATAGCTTAATCTGAAAATTACAATGTATTTAAGGATACTGTTTAAAATACTTGGTAGTATTGTTTAAAATATATAGTAGACCCTTCCGTTTTGTGCCTGAATTGCTTATTTAGACAATAAATGATTAAACATATTAACTGTCATTGTTTTTTTGACTATTAAGTATTTTATCAGTTTTTAAAACAAAACAAATAATTAAAATGATTTGATTAAAATAATAATCAGTTTTTTGAAAAAAGCTTATAGTGAAAAAGATAATCATGTCTCCCACCTTCCACTCCCAGTTTGGCTTCTTGGCAACCTTTTAAACCATTTCTAGTTATGTCCATAATATTTATATTTCTGTTTTTCAATTTTTTATTTTTGTGTATTTCTGGACATGAAAGATTTAGTTCACACTGCCTCCTCTCTTTCCCGTATCATTCTTTTTTTTTTTTTTTTTGAGTTGGGGTCTTGCTGTGTTGCCCAGGCTGGAGTGCAGTGGTGTGATTATGGCTCACTGCAACCTTAAACTCCTGGGCTCAAGTTATCTTCCCACCTTAGCCTCCCGAGTAGCTAGGACTATAGCCCTGTGCCACCACACCCAGCTAATTTTTTCATTTTCTATTTTGTAGAGACAGAGTCTCACTATGTTGCCCAAGCTAGTCCCGAACTCCTGGCCTCAAGCAGTTCTCCCAAATCAGCCTCTCTAAGTGTTAGGATTACAGGCATGAGCCACCATGCCCAGCCAAAACTTTGAAACATAAATAAAAGTAAACAATAATATAACAAAGCCCTTGTATCTATTGTTAGTTAAAACAGCTATCAATTCATGTCTAGCCTTATTTTGTCTACTCACTTCCCTCACTCCTGTATTATTTTGAAGAAACCTGTTAGTCACCTATTTGATGTTATGTTTTAGTTTCTTGTTCTGTTTGTCTGAAAAAGTCTTTTTTTCTTTTTAACTTTTTTTTTTCTTTTTATTTTTTTTGTGAGACAGGATTATTGCACAGGCACCCGTGCAGTGGTGCAATGATGGCTCACTACAGCCTCAACTTCTTGAGTTCAAGCCACCTCAGCCTCTCAGGTAGCTGGGACTACAGGCATGTGTCACCACTGGACCCTCATCACAATATACAAAAATTTACTCAAGGTGGAATAAAGATTTAAATGTAATACCTCAAACTATAAAAATCCTAGAAGAAAACCTAGGAAATATCCTCTCGACATTGGCCCCGGCAAAGAATTTTTGGCTAAGTCTCCGAAAACAATTGCAACAAAGCCAAAAATTGACAAGTGGGACCTAATTAAACTACAGAGCTTCCACGCAGCAAAAGAATCCACCAATAAACAGACAACCTAAAGAATGGGAGAAAATAGTCACAAACTATACATCCAACAAAGATCTCATATCCAGAATTTATAAGGAACTTAACAGCAAAAAACAACCCCATTAAAAAATGAGCAAAGGGCTGGGCATGGTGGCTTACACCAGTAATCCCAGCACTTTGGGAGGCAGAGTCAGGCAGATCACTTGAGGCCAGGAGTTTGAGATCAGCCTGGCTGACATAGTGAAACCCCATGTCTACTAAAAATACAAAAAAAAAAAAAAAATTAGGGCGTGGTGGCACACACCTATAATACTAGCTACTTAAGAGGTTGAGGCACGAAAATCATTGGAACTGGGGAGGCGGAGATTACAATGAGCCAAGATCATGCCACTGCACTCCAGCCTGGGCGACAGAGCAAGACACTGTTTAAAAAAAGAAAAAAAAAAGGGCAAAGGACATGAACAGACATATCTCAAAATAAGACCTATAAGCAGCCAACACACATGAAAAACCACTCATCGTCACTAATTATCAGAGAAATAGAAATCAAAACCACAGTGAGATACCATCTCACACCAGTCAGAATAGCTGTTACTAAAAAATCAACTTGGGCGTGATGGCTCACACATGTAATCCCAGCACTTTGAGAGGCTAAGGCGGAAGGATTGAGCCTGAGAGTTCAAGAGCAGCCTAGGCAACATAGTCTCTACTAAAAATACAAAAAATTAGCCAGGCTCGGTGGCAGGCGCCTGTAGTCCCAGCTGCTCGGGAGGCTGAGGCAGGAGAATGGTGTGAACCCAGGAGGCGGAGCTTGCAGTGAGCAGAGACTGTACCAGTGCACTCCAGCCTGGGCGAAAGAGCGAGACTCCGTCTCAAAAAAAAAAAAAAAAGAAAATTACAAATAACACTTTTACTGTTTCTCTAGAAGATGCAGTGACCTTGGCACACCTTAAATTCATTCCTTTTCCATTCCTGCCTTTGGGTGTTATTATTATCAGAGTTTAAAATTCTGTGTGTGTGTATATTTGTTTTTTTAAACAGTTACTCCTTATGTAGATTTACCCACATTTTACCCTTTTTGTTTTTCTTTCCTTCCTACGTCTGTTCCTCCATCTGAGATCATGCATTTTCTCCTTCAAGAACTCAATTTAGTTTTTCCTTTAGTGAGCACCTAGTAGTGATGGATCCACTCAGTTTTTCTTTGTCTGAAAATGTTTTTCTTTCACTTTCACTTTGTGAGCTACTTTTGCAGGATAGAGAATTCTAGGTCAGCTGTTTTCTTCTTTTTTAGGCCCTTTGAAGATGACATTTCACTGTTAAGTGGCGTCTATCATTTCATTCAGCCTTATTATTGTGTCGGTGAAGTTAACTCTATCTTTTTTGCTCCACTTGATTCTCTCTTATAGTTTCCAGTTAGCCATATTTCAAGTCTATGTGTTGACTTACTTTCTTACACTTCTCTTCTTTCTTAACCTTCTCAAACCTGGTTTCTTTTCACTCTGCTGTATTTACCCTTGTGTGTTAGTCTGTTTTGTGTTGTTACAAAGGAATACCTGAAGGTTGGGTGTGGCAGCTCACACCTATAATCCTAGGACTTTAGACCGGGAGGATCATTTGAGGCCAGTAGTTCAGGACCAGCCTTGGCAACATAGCAAGACCCTCCATGTCTACAAAAAATAAATAAAAATTAGCCGGGTTTGGAGGCACATGCCTGTAGCCCCAGCTACTTGGGAGACTGAGGCAGGAGGATCACTTGAGCCCAGGAGTTCATGGCTGCAGTGAGCTATGTTCGTGCCACTGCACTGCAGCCTGGGTGACAGAACAAGACCTTTTCTTAAATAAATAAATAAATGAAGGAAGGAATAAAGGAATACCTAAGGCTGGGTAATTTATACAAGATTTATTTGGTGCACGGTTCTGCAGGCTGATCAGTAAGTATTGCACTAGCATCTGCTTCTCAGGAAGCTTTCAGTCTTGGCAGAAGGCAAAGGGGAAGCAGGTGTGCCACATGGCAAGAGAGGGAGCAAGGGAGTCAGGGGAGGTGCCACACTCTGAACTCACTCATTACACAGGAACACACCAAGCCATTCATGAGGAATCTGTCCCTGTGACCCAAACACCTCCCACTAGGGATCACATTTCAGCATGAGATTTGAGATTTGGAGGGGTCAGATATACAAACTATCACCTTGTTACCAAATCAAATTATTATTATTATTACTATTATTGACAGGGTCTCACTTTGTGATGCAGGCTGGAGCGCACTGGCACAATCACAGCTCACTGCAACCTTGACCTGCCTGGCTCAGGTGATCCTCCCACCTCAGCCTCCCAGGTAGCTGGGACTACAGTGCACACCACCAACATCCGGCTAATTTTTGTATATTTTGGTAGAGATGAGGTTTCTTGGCACATTGCCCAGGCTGGTCTTGAACTCCTGGGCTCAATCAGTCCACCTGCTTCAGCCTCCCTAAGTGCTGAAAATACAGGCATGAGCCACTGTGCGCAGCCTAAATTATTATTTCTAAGTTTTTAAGTTGTCATTCTCACTCAGTTTTTCTAATACCCTTCTTTCAGTTTTGTGCTTGCGGGTTTCTTTATCTTTCTCAAAATTTACTATTTGCTTTTCTTGGTATTCTTCACTTCAGAGATTTCATACTTTATTCTCATGGGTCCATTGTGTGCTGATGATTTTGCAGGCATCTAATAAAAGACTGTCTTCAGGCTTCTCTGTAAATTGCTAGAAGCTTACATTTGTAGTTGTGAATGAATTTTAAGGCTTACTTTGTCGTCCCAAAGGGGTCTTGGTATTCTGTGGAAAAGAATGTCTTCCATTCGCTGAACTACTTCATGCTTGTTTTCTGTCTATAGCATCCAAAAACGCCTCTGAATGTGTGCTCTCACTAGCTTACATTCTATGTATCAAGCTTCCAGCAGACTCTTTCATCTTGATGTCTCATTATAACTTCTGAATTTATCATGAAAAACCCAATCGTTCTCTCCAGTAACTTTGTCAATCTTATCCTAGCCACACACTTGACGTTCCCTGTCAGTGGTACCCCCAATCTCTTGGTCACCAAGGTTAATGTGTTTTTTTAATTCCTGCATCTCTATTGCCTCTGTACCCAAAAGTTATCGTATCCTTTTTAAGACATCCTTCGATGTTTTTGTGATTTCAACTCCCTCCCCATTCTTATTACCATCCCTCTTATCTCAAAATTCATCCATATAATCTGGATAGTTAGATTATTTGGTTTGGAATGACATTTGAAAAATATTAAGAACTTAAAATATTTTTATGTTAGGAAAATATCTTTAAATCGTTATAGGTACAACTAGGTGTTAGAAATATAATGTACTACGCAAAGCATTTCCCATTATAACTCTGATACAAATGTTCTCAACAGGCAATGAACACCAGGGAAAGTGGCAAAGCTTCATCCAGTCTAGGTCTTCAGGATTTTGATTTGCTCCGGGTAATAGGAAGAGGAAGTTATGCCAAAGTACTGTTGGTTCGATTAAAAAAAACAGATCGTATTTATGCAATGAAAGTTGTGAAAAAAGAGCTTGTTAATGATGATGAGGTAAGCACTGCATATTTTATTGCTTCTAAACTGCTTGAGAATACTATTCTTTTTTTTTTTTGAAACGGAGTTTCGCTCTTGTCACCCAGCCTGGAGTGCTAGTGGTGCAATCTTGGCTCACTGCAACCTCTGCCTCCCAGGTTCAAGTGATTCTCCTGCCTCAGCCTCCCAAGTAGCTGGGATTACAGGCATGCACCACTATGCCCAGCTAATTTTTGTATTTTTAGTAGAGATGGGGTTTCACCATGTTGGCCAGGCTGCTCTTGAACTCCTGACCTCAAGTGATCCACCCGCCTCAGCCTCCCAAAGTTGCTAGGAATATAGGCGTGAGCCACCGCACCCAGCCAAGAGTACTATTTTAAAGAAAACCTCTATGTTTGTGCTTTATTATCTCATTCTGCTTTTCTAAATATGTGCTAAGTAAATGAAATATATTATTTCGGTTTACTTTTCTTATAGATGGTATAAGATATTTAAAGTAATTTGATTATTAGATTTTTTTAAAAAAACAAAAATCAAACCACATTATTATCAGGAGAAATACTTGAGCTTTGTAAAAGTTTTCTAGACAGTTTTATAATACTGAAAGATTGACTAGTGTTATTTTTCTCTTTGTATGTAAATTTTCGTTTCATGATTATCAATGGTTTTGATATTTAGCCTAGTTAACCATTGCATTTGTGACCATTGAATTGCTCAGAGCAAATTTATCATTAATTGTGATATCAGTTTGACATAGATTTCTTACATGTTTCAAAATAGGATATTGATTGGGTACAGACAGAGAAGCATGTGTTTGAGCAGGCATCCAATCATCCTTTCCTTGTTGGGCTGCATTCTTGCTTTCAGACAGAAAGCAGGTAAGATTGAAAGATAGTAGAATGATTACTGGGCTTCATATTTTTGGTCATATTACACAGTTAGAACCTTTCTGCCCTAATTCATGAAGTTGATATCATGGAGGATGCAACAGTGTTAGGCTTATAACTTCCTGCTAATAATACTGCCATCAGTGATATCAGTTTGATATTAGATCAGCATTAGGAAATGACCTACTTTAGGCAGAACAGGAAATAGCCATGTCGTAATTATGGCAGTAGAAATCCAACCTTTTAAATATCCCCAGTATTCTAGTTTTATGACTTAAAATTTTCTAGCATTTAACAAGGAGGAAAAATACCTTGACAGTCGAAAATGACTTATTTAGCAAATGCTAAAATTAGGATGGTAATGAGTGGCTCTGGATTGCAAGTGGTACTACTTTAGAACAGAAGTAGTAGGTTACAAAATTATTATCATGCTGGTTTACTTTCTCGTATGTTCCGTACCCTAGATACCCTTTGTTTCCACCAAAATTTTGGCATCTTTTTAAAGGCTAAATAGTAGAGAATGCTCTCTGTTGTGATGGTTTCTGAAAATGCAAAGTTACACTACCTTATTTTGGATCTTGATTTCATGGGTTCTCTCCTGTGTTTTAGATTGTTCTTTGTTATAGAGTATGTAAATGGAGGAGACCTAATGTTTCATATGCAGCGACAAAGAAAACTTCCTGAAGAACATGCCAGGTGAGTTTTTGTTTACTGTTTGTGTTGTTTTCTTTTTGGGGCCATGTGGCTTTTTATGTGCAGTGGTTGGAAACAGTAGATAAATAATTTATTTTGATACTAGTTAATTATTTGTAAGTCATGCAGAGGCTGAGCTAAAAGTTAATTTACATTATATATATGTAAAACAATTATATATTCTTTTACATTTATACACATACATGTACATACACATGCACACAGTGCTTCCTAAGCAATTGAAAAGTGTGAACAGTATTAAAAGGCAAACCTTTAGTCTGCTAAAACCAATCCTTTTCAAATATTATGTCTATGTAGCATCAGCCATTTAAATAATTGAGACTAATAAACACTTATTAGTCTTTTCAGGTTTGTAGTGGTCTCTCAGAGAGTTCTTCACGATAAGAGTGCTATTCATACATACTTGAGAGTAATTAAACGATCCCTCTGGCTGGGCACAGTGGCTCACACCTCTAATCCCAGCACTTTGGGAGGCTGAGGCGGGCGGATCACCTGAGGTCAGGAGTTTGAGACCAGCCTGGCCAACATGGTGAAACCCTGTCTCTACTAAAAATACAAAAATTTGCTGGTCGTGGTGGCGGGTGCCTGTAATCCCAGCTACTCAGGAGGCTGAGGCAGGAGAATTGTCTGAACCCGGAAGGCGGAGGTTGCAGTGAGCCCAGATCGCACCACTGCACTCCAGCCTGGCCAACAGAGCAAGACTCTGTCTCAAAAAAAAAAAAAAAAGATCCCTCTTAAACTAGTATATACTTCTGACTGTTCTTCCTGTGATTTATTGTTCTTTGGCTTTTTTTTCCTCTAATCCCATAATTATTGATGAATAAAATAATATCGAATAGGCCAGGCGCAGTGGCTCATGCCTGTAATCCCAGCACTTTGGGAGGCCGAGGCGGGTGGATCATGAGGTCAAGAAATCGAGACCATCCTGGCCAACATGGTGAAACCCCATCTCTACTAAAAATATAAAAATTAGCCGGGCGTGGTGGCGGGCACCTGTGGTCCCAACTACTTGGGAGGCTGAATTAGGAGAATCGCTTGAGCCCGGGAGGCGGAGGTTGCAGTGAGCTGAGATTGCGCCACTGCACTCCAGCCTGGGTGAAAGAGCGAGACTCCGTCTCAAAAAAAAAAAAAAAAGTATTGAATATTAATTTTGTGCCC
The DNA here is from genome assembly GCF_000001405.40 of Homo sapiens. Taxonomy (NCBI): domain Eukaryota; kingdom Metazoa; phylum Chordata; class Mammalia; order Primates; family Hominidae; genus Homo; species Homo sapiens. The sequence continues at coordinate 170,283,145 of NC_000003.12, forward strand.
TTAATTTGATATTAATATACAAGACTGTAAATTGTTTATGTGTTGGATGGAGGAGATAGGTGGGAAGGGATCATGGCCTTGAGTAAAAAGTTTAATCCATCAGTACCATGTTTTGTTTCTTATCCGTAATCAGCAGTAATTCTCACCCTTTCCTACTTCACAAGAGTAATGCCAAAATGAAGCATGTGAGTTTGTATATGTATGTTATTATCATGCAGGGAATAAATATTAGAAATTTCATTTAAATTAAAAACTTGTAGAAAATTTGCTACTTCATTATTGCTTGTCAAAAATTTCATAAGAAGATATAAATTGTACTTGTCTAATCTTGAGGCCAACCTGGGTTTTTTGTTTATTTGGGTTTTTTTGTTGTTGTTTTGGTGTTCATTTATGTTCATTGTGTATTTATGCCTTATCAAATGGTCACCCTTCATAGAGCCACAGATGATATTTTGAATTGTGAACATAGCCAATATTTGTTCCTTGTTTGTTCAGTTGAATGTGGGAAAGCTAGTCTGGTTTTTACTATATTAATGTGCCAGTTTTGGTTTTATACCATCTTTGCTTTTGTAAGAACTAAAGCCCAGGACAAGGGCTTAAGTTCCCAAATCACGGAATTAAGTAGCTAGGAGGTGTATGTTACGTACCTCCACACATGATCATGATAATGTGCCACCAAAGCAGCCATACATCAGCTCAGGCATTCCATTTTCATTATTCAGGCCAAAAGTTCTGGGTTGTCACCAGTGAGTTGGTAGCAGTTTTTTTAAGTTCTTCATTTAATATTAAATTTTACAGTTGTTTATAGTTGTAGAATATTTTCATTTAATTCCTTTTCTAAAACCTTCATGAGGATTTTATAGTATTGAGTAGTCAGCTTGTAGTATTCTTTCTATTCTCGACCCCATTAGTGGTTCTTAGCCTTCTCGGAGGATCACGGGTCCCTTAGAGAAGTGATGAAAGCTTTGAGGACTCTGTAGATACTGTGCATGTACATACGGGCATACACCTTTGCCCCCAGTTGTAGAAGTATGGACTGCCTGAAGTTCACCCAAGGACCCAGATTGAGAACCCCTGTTTGAGACTATCAAATTAATAGCTTTATGAAAAATGTGAGTTTAAGTTAGACAGGAACTTTTACAATTGTGTCTTGGGCTCAGATGTTTTAAAGTGGTACTTCAGTTCATTTTTCAAATTTGTTCCTAAAATCACTGGGAGAAAAAAATATGTTTTAATATGAATTTTTGTGTTTCCAGTTGTAAATGTAGAACTTAAATATGGTTGAATCAAATGACTTATTTTTTATTTAATTTTAGATTTTACTCTGCAGAAATCAGTCTAGCATTAAATTATCTTCATGAGCGAGGGATAATTTATAGAGATTTGAAACTGGACAATGTATTACTGGACTCTGAAGGCCACATTAAACTCACTGACTACGGCATGTGTAAGGTGAGGAAAATTTTCTAGTTATTTTAAAAGGTCTTCAGCAGCTAGTAGTCTTTGTAAAATAACTTCATGTTTAAAGATGAGGAAATGATTACTAATTTTGCTAATTTACTTAAGCTTTGTGGAATTCTAGCACAAAGACAAATGTACTTTTTTTCTAACCATTTGCAAAATTTGTATCTTCTGTGTTATGTGTACTACAATAAGAGCTAATTTCTTTTTATTATACATAACTTTTTATCTTGAAAGTTGAAATACAATTGAAGACAATTTGGAAATAAAAATTGTCTGCAATTCCACTACTTAACACAACCATTTGCATATGACCTTCCAATTTTTGCCATTTAGTAGTGAATCTTATATAATGCATTCAGGATTTTCCTCAGAAGTCAAACATTTTTTATATTTAAATTTTAAACATCTGACATAAAGCATAATAGGATAAAACAAGAATTTCAGTTACTCCCGGAATATGTCTTCATTTCTTTTTTTTTTTTTTTTTTTGAGACAGGGTCTTGCTCTGTCCCCCAGGCTGGAGTGCAGTGGCGCAATCTCGGCTCAGTGCCAGCTCCGCCTCCCGGGTTGACGCCATTCTCCTGCCTCAGCCTCCCGAGTAGCTGGGACTACAGGCGCCTGCCACCACGCCCAGCTAAGTTTTTGTATTTTTAGAAGAGACGGGGTTTCACCATGTTAGCCAGGATGATCTCAATCTCCTGATCTCATGATCCGCCTGCCTCAGCCTCCCAAAGTGCTGGGATTACAGGCGTGAGCCATCGCGCCTGGCCTATTTCTTGATGTTTTATTCTTTTATAACAGTGTTCCATTTTAAATGTCTGATATTTTCCCACTAAATGTGTAAGGAACTATTCCTTGTTAAGGTAACTGGTACAAAATTATCCTCACATAGCAATACAACAACCAGTATGTAAATGTGTGAATTGCATTCCCTGTTCACCTGTGGGAAGTGCCTCCAGAGCCTGGAGATTATCTAAATGCTAACAACATGGCATATGACAACCTAGTTGTATCGAAGATTTAACTTTATTATCTGTTCAGCATGCATTAAAGAATAAAATCTTCACTTAAACTATGTTTGCTTTTATGTACAGAATTCAACCGTACTTTTCACATGATACTTATTAATTAATTATTGTTGTTTTTTTTTTTTGGAGACAGAGTCTCGCTCTGTCGTCCAGGCTGGAGTGCAATGGCACAATCTTGGCTCACTGCAACCTCCGCCTCCTGGATTCAAGCCGTTCTCCAGCCTCAGCCTTCCAAGTAGCTGAGATTAAGGTGCGCCCCACCATCCCTGGCTAATTTTAATTTTTTTTTTTTTTTTTTAATTTTTGAGACAGAGTTTTGCTCTTATTGCCCAGGCTGGAGTACAATGGCACAATCTCGGCTCACTGCAACCTCCACCTCCCAGGTTCAAGCAATTCTCCTGCCTCAGCCTCCTGAGTAGCTGGGATTACAGGCACCTGCCACCATGCCCGGCTAATTTTTTTGTATTTTTAGTAGAGACGGGGTTTCACCATGTTGGCCAGGCTGGTCGCGAACTCCTGACCTCAGGTGATCCACCCGCCTCAGCCTCCCAAAGTGCTGGGATTACAGATGTGAGCCACCATGCCCGGCCCTTACGTATTTATATTATACAAGTTTTCAATCATAAACAATTAGAAAGCTTAGCGAGTGGAACCCCTATGTACCTATCACTTATATTTGTGGTACCTTTTTGATCTCTGTGTCATTTTTTTTCCTAAGGGATTTTTTTCTCATTTCAGAAAAAAGTGACAGTGATAGAGGAGTCTTATCCCCAAGAATAAATGAAACTGAACAAAAAACATGGAGAGTATTACCCTTCATACGAAGTGCACAAATTAAAACAATGAGGCTTTTTTTTTTTTTTTTTTTTTTGCCTGTGAGATACGGGTTTTAAAGTTAGAATAGCCTGTATGTACAAGAGTTTAAAGAAATGGGCATATGTCACTGGTGTGTATATAAATTGTTACAAACCTTTTGAGAAGCAGTTTGATGGGGGAATTATCAGGAATCCTAAAGATGGCCATGTTCTTTGATCCGGTAATTCTGCCCTTGGATATTCTGAGTAAATATTTTGGTTTATGAGGAGAGATTTCTGACCAAAACTTTTATTGTAGTTTATGATCAATATTATAAAGTCATTTAAGAAGATCTTTATTTTTATTTTATTTTTACTTTCTTTTTTTTTTTTTTAAATAGAGACGAGGTCTCGCTGTGTTGCCCAGGCTCGTCTCAAACCCAAGAGTTCATAATGTTAGCATTTAGATAATCTCCAGGCTCTGGAGGCACTTTCCTCAGGTGAATGGGGAATGCAGTTCATACATTTACATATTTGTCATGTTACTATGTGAGGATAATTTTGTTCCAGTTAACAAGGAAAGCAAGCCACCACGCCCGACTGAAGATATTTGTAAAAAATACATAACACATGATGGCTCAGACCTGTAATCCCAGCAATTTGGGAGGCCGAGGCAGGCAGATTGCTGGAGCTCAGAAGTTCGACACCAGCCTGGGCAACATGGCAAAACTCCATCTCTACAAAAAATAGGAAAATTACACTGGGTTGGTTGTGCTTGTAGTCCCAGCTACTTGGGAGGCTGAGATGGGGGGATCACTTGAGCCTGGGGCTGTAGTGAGCTGTAATCGCGCCACTGCACTCCAGTCTGGGTGACAGAGTGAGATCCTATCTAAAATATATATATATATAGAGAGAGAGAGAGTAATAAATATATATATGTATATACATAATGCTTATAACAGATGAAGTCTTAACATATAGAATTGTCTGATTCTTTTATGTATCATTCTGTTATGTAGCATCACACGTTGATTCTGTTTACTTTTCAGCATTTTTCAAGTTGTTATTTTAAAATGTTATGTTAAATGTGGTTACCAATTGCATTACAGTACACTAATGCATTTTAATAACATTTTAAAATGTTATTTTTAAATAACACCTTTAATGGAATCACTGCATTGTTTAAACAATCAAAATGGGCAGGGTGTGATGGCTCACACCTGTAATCTCAGCACTTTGGGAGGCCCGGCAGGCAGATCACTTGAGGTCAGGAGTTTGAGACCAGCCTGGCCAACATGGTAAAATCTTGTCTCTACTAAAAACACCAAAAGATTAGCTGGGCATGGTGGCACACCTGTGGTCCCAGCTACTCAGGAGACTAAGGCAGGAGAATTGCTTGAACCTGGAGGCAGAGGTTGCAGTGAGTGGAGATTGTGCCACTGCACTCCAGTCTGGGTGACAAAGTGAGACTCTGTCTCAAAAAAAAAAAAAAAAAAAAAAGAAAATCACAAAAATGAATTAAGACTTTTCTCTTGGCCGGGTGCGGTGGCTTGCACCTGTAATCCCAGCATTTTGGGAGGCCGAGGCAGGCGGATCACAGGTCAGGAGATTGAGACCATCCTGGCTAACATGGTGAAACCCCGTCTCTACTAAAAATACAAAAAAATTAGCCAGGCGTGGTGGCGGACGCCTGTAGTCCCAGCTACTCGGGAGGCTGAGGCAGGAGAATGGCGAGAACCCGGGAGGCGGAGCTTGCAGTGACCCGAGATCGCGCCACTGCATTCCAGCCTGGGCAACAGAGTGAGACTACGTCTCAAAAAAAAAAAAAGGACTTTTCTCTTTTTGTCTTTCTTAGTCTTTTGTTACTCTTACTGGAAAATAATATTGGCTTCTTATACATTTTCATTTCTTACAGGGATCCTCAATCAAGTTAGTCAAGGTGTTTCATAAATCTGAGATCTTTATCGAGTAGGTCTTTAAATCAAATGTCCTCCTACCTCCCTTTCTGCCTTTCCTCCTTCTCCAAGAGCTGCCTAGGGCGGGTGCAGTGGCTCACGCCTATAATTCCAGCACTTTGGGAGGCCAAGGCAGGCGGATTACTTGAGGTCAGGAGTTTGAGACCAGCCTGGCCAACATGGTGAAAACCCATCTCTGCTAAAACCACAAAAACTAGCCAGGTGTGGTGGCGAGTGCCTGTAATCCCAGCTACTTGGGAGGCTGAGGCAGAAGAATCTCTTGAACCTGGGGTGGGGTGGAGATTGCAGTGAGCTAAGATCACACCACTGCACTGCACTCCAGACTGGGCAACAGAGTGAGACTCCGCCTCAAAATATATACATATAAAATAAAATAAAAAATAAAGCTTATGAGAAATTAACCCTCCAAAAGTTTGAATGCTCTTTTATGACTTAGTGTCAATATTTAACTTACCTGAAGCTTGACTTCATGCAAGTGTTGGATGAATTTCTTTATAAAGATTGCAGAGGATAGTGATGAAAACTTGAATTAGTATCTTTAGAGTTATGTTTGAAATATTTTATGAACGTTGATTTTATTAAGTGGCAGCCTTTCGTGGTTTTATGAACTGATGTGCCTTTAAGTGTTTTTTTCATCAACAGAGGAATTCTAATAATATCTGTTATGCTGCAGAAAACTTAGCAAATGGACCTACATTCTGACATTCAGTCAACAAGTGAATGATTAAGCATAGCTGTTACAAGTTAACAGACTACATCTCTTACCTCTGACTATTGTACTGAAAGTACATGTCATTTTTCATGAGAATGTATTGCCGTTGCCAATAATAGAAAACAATAAAAACCATATTCATATTTCTAAAAATAGCATATAATATCCCTTTTAGAAATCATTTTAAAATTCTTGGAGTCACAACATATTACTAAATATTTCTTCTAGATGTTTATAGCAGTGTTATATATAACAGGGTGAAATTTGAAGAAAAATATGTTCACCATGCCCAGAATGTCTCTGGAGGGCCACATAATAGTGGTTGCCTCTAGGGAGCTGGAACTGGGTGAGTCAGGGACAAGAATGGAAGGAAGGGCCGGGCACAGTGCTCACGCCTGTAATCGCAGCACTTTGGGAGGCTAAGGTGAGTGAATCACCTGAGGTCAGGAGTTTGAGACCAACCTGGCCAACATGGCAAAACCCCATCTCTACTAAAAATACAAAAAGCCAGAGGCTCGGCACAGTGGCTCACTCCTGTAATCCCAGCACTTTGGGAGGCCGAGGCGGGTGGATCACTTGAGGTCAGGAGTTCGAGACCAACCTGACCAACATGGTGAAACCCCGTCACTACTAAAAATAAAAAATTAGGTGGGCGTGGTGGTGCATATCTGTAATCCCAGCTACTTGGGAGGCTGAGGCAGGAGAATCGCTTGAACCTGGGAGGCAGAGGTTGCAGTGAGCCGAGATCGCACCATTGCACTCCAGCCTGGGTAACGAGCGAAACTCCATCTTAAAAGAAGAAAAAAAAGCCAGGCGTGGTTGCATGCACCTGTAATCCCAGCTACTTGGGAGGCTGAGGCGTGAGAATCACTTGAACCTGGGAGACAGAGGTTGCAATGAGCCAAGATCACGCCACTGAACTCCAGCCTGGATGACAGAGCGAAACTCGGTCTCAAAAAAAAAAAAAAGGAAGGCTTGAGTTTTGTGCTGCCCCTCTTTTTTGGTTTAGAATTTTGTACCGTATAATCTATAGGAAAGTGGTTAAGTTCTAGGTACATATGTTCTGTTGAATTTCATATAGTTGTTAATATTAGAAAGTCTTCGGTTGTGTAGGAAATGCTTACAAAGTTTTAAAACATGCTTAATTATGTATGATTCAGTTGTCTTTAGACTTTTTTATTGTTGATTTTTTTTTTATTTGCCTTTTGGCCAGAGAATGGTTTGAATATTAGTTCATTGGAATACATTGAGATTTCCTTTATGACCTAATATATGGCCAGTAGCCCATGTGTACTTAAAAGGATATATAATCTTTACATGCAGGGAGTCTCTCTCTCTAATGTCTCTCTTCCTTCTCCCTCACTCCACACACACATATAGACGTACATATATTCTACATGTATATGTATTTTGTATATATATATATATATTTTAACTCTAGCTTTTTTCCAAATCTTTCTCTGCCTACTGATTTTTAGTATGTGTGATCTATCATTTTCTAATATAGATTATTCTCATATTAACTTCTCCTATTATGATTGGAGATTGTGAAATTCTCCTAATAATTTTGTCCTTTTTTACTCTTTGTATTTTGAGGCCATGTTGTTGAGTGTATGCAAGTGTATATTTGTTACAATTTCTTGGTGATTGTCCCATTAATTATTGGGTAGTTCCTTTACTCTGCCTGTTAGTGTGTTTTGCCTTATTTTTTTTCCATCCTACAGCTATTAAAATACAGGCCCGGCATGGTGGCTTATGCCTGTAATCCCAGCACTTTGGGAGGCCGAGGTGGGCAGATCATCTGGTCAGGAGTTTGAGACCAGCCTGAGCAACATGGAGAAACCCCATTTTCTACTAAAAATACAAAATTAGTTGGGTGTGGTGGCACACGCCTATAATCTCAGCTACTCTGGAGGCTGAGGCAGGAGAATTGCTTGAATCCGGGAGGCGGAGGTTGCAGTGAGCTGACATTGTGCCATTGCACTCCAGCCTGGGCAACAAAGTGAAACTCTGTCTCCAAAAAAAAAAAAGTGTTCTTAGGAAAAATAAACAGAAGGAAAATATTGTAGTCTTATCAATGGTTGTATTAGGAGGTGAGATTTAAAGTGCTTCTTTTCTTCATGAAATATGCCTTATTCTACTAATATTAAAATTTTGTTATTAAATTTTAACTTGTATGTAAATTATTTTAAATTCAAGTCGTACCTTAATTGAATCAACTCTAGCAACATCTAATGAGGACAGGTTTTCTTCAAGCTATTTAGTGGTGATCTGTGATTTTAATAATAAAGGCAGTTGCCAGGCATGATGGCTCATGCCTGTAATCCCAGCACTTTGGGAGGCCGAGGCAGGTGGATCACTTGAGGCCAGGAGATCGAGACCAGCCTGGCCAACATGGTGAAACCCTGTCTCTACTAAAAATACAAAAATTAGCTGGGTGTGTTGGTGCATGCCTGTAATTCCAGCTACTCAGGAGGCTGAGACACAAGAATTGCTTGAACCCAGGAGGTGGAGGTTGTAGTGAGCTGAGATCGTGCCACTGCATGCCAGCCTGGGCGACAGAGCAAGACCCTGTCAAAAATAATAATAATAATAAAGGCAATTGTTCTAGTGATGTTAAGTGAGCTTAATGTATCACTGCAGATGCTGAACTTATATGATAGGTGAAATAGAAAGGGTGAATTTAAAACAGAACTTTTTATCTCATTCTTTCTTTCTGTTCTTTTTAATAAAAGGAAGGATTACGGCCAGGAGATACAACCAGCACTTTCTGTGGTACTCCTAATTACATTGCTCCTGAAATTTTAAGAGGAGAAGATTATGGTAATAAATAAATTGGTGGTATTATTTTAGCTATTGCTAGATGGGTGGTAAAATGTGGTACCAATTGCATTACAGTACACTAATGCATTTTGACGTGATCTTATTAATATAAGGATTCTTGATCCTGTTAAAAACTACATGGAGAGTCCCAGACTTTGAAATCGAGACAGTGGGACCTTGGCAGTATTTGGGGGTACCAAGCTGAATAATATTTTATTAGTGGCAAACACTAAACAGTAGCAGGCACTATTCTAAGCAGTTTACATATATTAACTAAGTTAATCCTCTTAACAACCCTGTGAGGTAAGTACTATTAATTCTCCTTTTACAGTTGAAGAAACTGACATACGGAAAGTTTAAATAACTCGCCTAAGGTCAAGGATTCAGAACAGCACCCATGTGACTCCAGAGTCATGAACCCCTGGAAAATTTTTCAGATTTCCTGGGATATTTGCCCCAGGAATCTGAAAGATGGTGGAAAGATTAACTGTATCTCAGGCACCCGAAGATACACTTATCTTGAGAAAACATTTGACTTTTTGGGTTTTGGCCCTCTGCCTTCAGCAGATATAAAGGACAATGTGGTACTTGTGAGAGCTGCTCAAAGTCTGAATCCACTGTCCTTCACTGGTCTTTATCAGCTAGCAAAAGATCAAGTTTAAGACCAAGGAGGCAGGAGAATGGCGTGAACCCGGGAGGCGGAGCTTGCAGTGAACCGAGATTGTGCCACTGCACTCCAGCCTGGGCGACAGAGTGAAACTCTGTCTCAAAAAAAAAAAAAAAGCCCCTGTCCACACCTCCAGCAGTTGCCAACATATAGCCGGGCGCGGTGGCTCACACCTGTAATCCCAGCACTTTGGGAGGCCGAGGCAGGCGGATCACGAGGTCAGGAAATCGAGACCATTCTGGCTAACATGGTGAAACCCTGTCTCTACTGAAAACACAAAAAATTAGCCGGGCGTGTTCACAGGTGCCTGTAGTCTCAGCTACTCGGGAGGCCGAGGCAGGAGAATGGCGTGAACCCGGGAGGTGGAGCTTGCAGTGAGCCGAGATTGCACCACTGCACTCCAGCCTGGGCGACAGAGTGAGACCCCATCTCAAAAAAAAAAAAAAAAAGACCAAGGAGATTACTCTGAAATACAATTTAATTATATCCTCAACACACAATATTAGATATTGGGCATGAGTCTGAAAGTAGAAATACATGGAGAAAGAAAGTTTTTTTTTCTCATAATTTTATTTTTAAAATTATCTTTTAGGTACCTACCCTTGTTGATAAATGAAGCATTTCTATAATCTTCAGTGCCTACCATGATAGTTGGAATGCATTTAGAGTTTACTTTTTCATTGTTTCTTTTTCCTTTATGTGATAAAATTTCCAGTTACTAACTTTCAAGAATGCAAAGTGTATAATTTATTGCTTTAAAATTTCTTTCTGAAGGTTTCAGTGTTGACTGGTGGGCTCTTGGAGTGCTCATGTTTGAGATGATGGCAGGAAGGTCTCCATTTGATATTGTTGGGAGCTCCGATAACCCTGACCAGAACACAGAGGATTATCTCTTCCAAGGTAATTTGGAGTATTTTACAGAGATTCTCTGAGAAAAACCTATTCTAGAGTACAAATGAGAGTGATTCAGGTTACTACTTTGAGTAAGAAAAATGAGCATAATCTGGAAAATATAATCCTGACTGGTGGTATTAGGTTTTGTTGTTGTTTTTGTTTGTTTTTGAGACAAGGTCTCACTCTTTTGCCCAGGCTGGAGTGCAGGGGCGCAATCTCGGCTCCATGCAACCTCCACCTCCCTGGTTCAAGCAATTCTTCTGCCTCAGCCTCCCGAGTAACTGGGATTACAGGCACACTCCCGAGTAACTGGGATTACAGGCACACACCACTATGCCCGGCTAAATTTTGTATTTTTAGTAGAGACAGGGTCTCACCATGTTGGCCAGGCTGGTCTTGAACTCCTGACTTCAAGTGATCTGCCCACCTCAGCCTCCCCAGCATGCTGAGATTACAGGCATGAGCCACTGCACCTGGCCTCTGTGTATTAGGTTTTGATGTTTTTTAATACATTCTTTCTTTTCTATAGTCTTCACTCCTGTTCACAGTTACCTTCTCATACTCAAAATCATAACAGGGGTTATTTAGAATTATCCATCACAAACAGATTGGAGAAAGGAATCCTGTGGCTAGAGAGATAATCTTTACACAGGGACCCTGAGGCTGAGTGCATAAGTTCAAGAACAGTATGAGGGGAAAATAGAGCACCAAGATGATGAGTGATCAAAAGATGGGGAAAAAAGGCCCCACATCAGGGAATATACAGAATTGACAGAAACAAGCAGACAAGTGCAGGGACCTCTAGCACAGAATCCAAAGAAGTATGAAAACTACTATAAAATTCTACATTTAATAATTAAAGCCATCACAGGATATAAATAGGCATTTCATGCCCAAATGGCCATGGAATATGTGAAAAGACATTCAGTCTCACTAGCAATTAAGGGAATGCACATTAAATGTTAATGAGTTACCATTTCATATCGGTACATTTGATCAAAATATTAAAGTTGGGTAATACCAGTGCTGGTGAGGATGTGGAGCAACTGGAACTCTTCTAGACTGCTGGTAGGAATGAAAACTGACACAACAGCTTTAAAGAATAATTTGGCAGTGTCCAAAAAAATTGCATATTATATATGCTAAGCATTTTACAAATGTTAACTCATTTAAACCTCATAACAATCCTATGAAGTATTTTTTTATTCCTATTTTACAGATGAGGAAACTGAGGCATAATTAGGTAGTCAAAGAATAAGACATTCATGTAAATGATAAATAGTATTCAGATTAGAGGCTTTCTCTGAGAAGATGGGAAAAGAAGGGGTTTAGGAAAGTACAGGAGGCACTTCAGTTATATATGTAATATCTTATTTTTTTTCCTGGAATGCCTTAAATATCTTATAATAAAAATTTAAAGATTGCACCCAGGCATAGTGGCTCACATCTGTAATCCCAGCACTTTGGGAGGCCGAGATGGGCGGATCACTTGAGGTTAGGAGTTTGAGACCAGCCTGGCCAACATGGCAAAACCCCGTCTCTACTAAAAATAAAAAAAAATTAGCTGGGCGTCGTGGCGGGCACCTGTAATCCTAACTACTCAGGAGGCTCAGGCAGGAGAATCACTTCAGCCTGGAGGCGGAGGTTGCAGTGAGCTGAGATCGTGCCACTGCACTCCAGTCTGGGCAAGACAGTGACACTCTGTCTCAAAAAAAAAAGAAAAAAGAAATTTAAAGATTGCCAGGTGCAGTGGTTCACACCTGTAATCCCAGCACTTTGGGAGTCCAAGGCAGGAGGATTGCTTGAACCCAGGAGTTCAAGACCAGCTTGAGCAATATGGTGAGACCCTTATCTCTACAAAAAAATTTAAAATTAGCCAGCCATTGCTGGGCGCAGTGGCTCACACCTGTAATCCCAGCACTTTGGGAGGCTGAGGTGGGCGGATCACTTACCTTCATGAGGTCAGGAGTTTGAGACCAGCCCGGCCAGCATGGTGAAACCCCATCTCTACCAAAAACACAAAACTCACTGGGCATAGTGGCACACGCCTGTAATCCCAGCTACTCAGGAGGCTGAAGTGGTAGAAGCACTTGAACCCGGGAGGCAGAGGTTGCAGTGAGCTGAGATCGTGCCACTGTGCTCCAGCCTGGATGACAAAACAAGACTCCATCTCAAAAAAAAAAAAAAAAAAAATTTAGCCGAGCGTGATGGTGGCGCCTGTGGTCCCAGCTACTTGGGAGGTTGAGGTGGAAGGATTGCTTAAGCCCGGGAGGTCAAAGCTGCAGTGAGCTGTGATTGCATCACTGCACTCCAACCTGGGCAACAGAACAAGCCCCTTTCAAAAAAGAAGAAAAAAGATTAAAGCCATGTAAAAGTTAAATATAATACTATAATTTTTATCTTTCTAGTTATTTTGGAAAAACAAATTCGCATACCACGTTCTCTGTCTGTAAAAGCTGCAAGTGTTCTGAAGAGTTTTCTTAATAAGGTATAAATTGTGTATAAGAATATTTTGTGATTTGTCTCTTTCTATATATATCAAACTGGTCAGTAGCGGTTTGGGAAATGTAAAATTCCAAAACAGTAGAGAATGTAACTTTTTCAGTTTGACCCAGAATTTGTCTCTTACCCAAAGAGTAATTGACAGCATTAGATCCTGAGATAAGTTAGTTGTCCTTTCCATTTTGGCAATAAAATTTACTCCCCAGCTATATATTACATAATTTTTGTGTATGTGTAAATAATATATACCATATTCTCACATAGGGGAAGAGTTAATCTTTGGGTTTAGCCATAATTGTACTTTGAACTCTGTTTCCATTTTCTCTGTATCATTATCCATAGAATCTATTTATTACCATGTACTTTTTGAGCACGTGGGCCGCAGTGCTCCCTACAAATTCTCATGTCAAAAATGCTATAATTAGGTAAGATTCGGAAGAAATGAAATGCTATCTTTGGCTCTTAAAAATGTGAACATCATTCAATTGTTTGTTGCTGTTGGTAGGCTAGAGGAGTTTTAGGATCTAGGAGTGTGGTCTTGGCAATTATAAATTCTACTTTAAATAAATGGTATGATAGAAAAGTTGATGTACATTTACCTTCTAAGGTAAATAGATAAGATAATGAGTTTTAATAAAATAAGAAATTGAAGCCTTTTAAAAAATGAACAATTTATGTGAGGAAAGATTTAAACTTGAAACCTAATTTTTCACATAGTGAAAAATGAAGGCAAGAGGTGTTGATATGCAAAATAAAATACCTTTTATCAGAAAGAAAAATGGGAACATATTCTCATTCATAGTGATGAATAAGCCAAGACTTTTTATAAGTTGCAGGCTCCTCAGTCCAGTGATTCAGATAATGGTTGTATCATTGTCTTACACAGGTGGTGGTTTGTTGCTATAATTGGGCATGGGGATTTTAAATTAAGCTAAAAACAAACTTCTCATGAAGTTTGGAGGTTTGCATGTTTTGACTCTCACACTAGGTCATGCAAAGAAATGGCTGGGTGCTGTCAAATGATTCTGCTGTTCTCTTTTTCCTCCTGTTTTTCTTTAGCAAGGAATTGGTGATGATTCTCTGTTTTAATTACATGATGGGTGGAGAAAGTGCCTTGAGGAATCACAAGTTTCAAATAACTCAATTTGTTCTGGAGTTGTACTTTCTAGAAATAAAAGGTAGACCATTCCAACTTCAGAAATAAGAGTATCATGTGAGGGCACACAACACAGATCACAAAGATGATTTATTTTAAAGCATGACATTCACCCAATTCTTGAAACATTTCTTTCACCATAGGACCCTAAGGAACGATTGGGTTGTCATCCTCAAACAGGATTTGCTGATATTCAGGGACACCCGTTCTTCCGAAATGTTGATTGGGATATGGTATGTAAATTTTGATTACTCAACTATTAGGTTTCATTATTATCTTGGGCCAATTTTTTGTTGTTGTTCTGTTTGTTTTTAGACAGAGTCTTGCTCTGTCACCGAGGCTGGAGTACAATGGCACGATCTCAGCTCACTGCAACCTCCGCCTCGCGAGTTCAAGCAGTTCTGTCTCTGCCTCCCTAGTAGCTGGAATTACAGTCACTCACCACCATGCCCAGCTAATTTTTGTATTTTTAGTAGAGATGGGGGGGGTTTCACAATGTCGGCCAGGCTGGTCTCGAACTCCTGACCTCAGGTGATACACCCACCTCGGCCTCCCAAAGTGCTGGGATTACAGATGTGAGCCACCACACCCGGCCTATCTCGGGCCAAATTTTATTGTCTTAGCTAACATATCACAGCTTTAAAAACTTAAAACCACTTTCTAAACTGCTTTTTAGAAAACTTTTAAAACAAAAAAAAAATTCAATTTTTTTTTAATTTATTATTTTTTTTCTGAGACGGAGTCTCATTCTGTCACCCAGGCTGGAGTGCAGTAGTGTGATCTCTGCTCACTGCAACCTCCACCTCCTGGGTTCAAGCAATTCTGCCTCAGCTTCCTGAGTAGCTGGGATTACAGGCACACGCCACCACGCCCAGCTAATTTTTGTATTTTTAGTAGAGACGGGGTTTCATCATGTTGGCCAGGCTGGTCTTGAACTCTTGACCTCAAGTGATCCACCCGCCTCAGCCTCCCAAAGTGCTGGGATTCCAGGGGTGAGCCACCATGCCCAGCCAAAAAATTGAATATTAATGTAATAAAGCAGGTTGTAATGTTATTAAGGCCCATATCAATGTTTATACTTGTTTTTATTTTTTTAGGAGAAACAGTCTCAGTCCGTTGCCCAGGCTGTAGTGTAGCTCACGACAGCCTTGATTGAACTCCTGAGCTTAAGAGATCCTCCTGTGTAACCTCCCAAGTAGCTGGGACTACAGGCATAAGCCATGGTACCCAGCTAATTTTCAATTTTTTTTTTTTTTTTTTTTGAGATGGTGTCTTGCTCTGTCTCCCAGGCTGGAGTGTAGTGGCACAATCTCAGCTCACTGCAACCTTCGCCACCTGGGTTCAAGCGATTTCTCCTGTCTCAGCCTCCAGAGTAGCTGGGATTACAGGTGTGTGCCACCACACCTGGCTAATTTCGGTATTTTTAGTAGAGACGGGGTTTAGCTATGTTGGCCAGGCTGGTCTTGAATCCCTGACCTCAGGTGATCTGCGCACCTTGGCCTCCCAAAGTGATGGGATTACAGGCGTGAGCCACTGCACCCAGCCAATTTTTAATTTTTTTATAGAGATGGGATCTTGCTATGTTGTCTGGGCTGGTCTTGAACTCCTGGCCTCAAGTGATCCTCCCATCTCAACCTACCAAGCGGTTGGGATTACAGGCGTGAGCCGCCATGCCCAGCTCATATTTGTAAATTATGTTCATCATTGCTAATATCATTGAACCATGCTTCAGGACTCACTTTAATAAGGTAAACAATGAGTGCAGAGGAGAACTGTAGAGGTGGAGTTTTTCTAAGAATACAGACTTGAGCTGTCATCCAGTATGTCTTTTCAGATGGAGCAAAAACAGGTGGTACCTCCCTTTAAACCAAATATTTCTGGGGAATTTGGTTTGGACAACTTTGATTCTCAGTTTACTAATGAACCTGTCCAGCTCACTCCAGATGACGAGTAAGTAATTCTGTACACTGAAATTTTTTTTTAAGTTCTTTGGAAATCCCATTTTTAGTGACTATGCAATGTTTCATTATCAGATTATACTATAATTTTTTTATTTTCTATTTTATTTCATTTTATTTTATTTTGAGATGGAGTCTCGCTCTGTTGCCCAGGCTGGAGTGCAGTGGTGCAATCTCGGCTCACTGCAACCTCTGCCTCCCAGGTTCAAATGATTCTCCTGCCTCAGATACCCTGAGTAGCTGGTACTACAGGCGCGTGCCGCCACGCCCAGCTAATTTTTGTATTTTTAGTAAGGACAGAGTTTGCCATGTTGGCCAGGCTGATCTTGAACTCCAGACCTCAGGTGATCCACCCACCTTGGCCTCTTAAAGTGCTGGGATTACAGGCGTGAGCCACTGTGCCCGGCCTATACTATAATTTATACAACCATTCAGTTACTGGTATTTGTATCTACTGTACCATTATAAGTTTTAATAGTAACTGTCATTTTCTCCTTTGCTTTATAGTGCATTATCTTATTTTCACAACAACTTTGTAATCTAGTTACTGTCATCTTCGTTTTACAGATGAGGAAACCAAGGCTCAGAGAGGTTAAGCAAAGTTACACAGCTATCAGGTGGCAGAGTCAGGATTCAAACCCAAATCTGACTGACTAAGGCCTGTGCTCTTTCTACCACGCTGCACTGTTTCCCATTTGACAAGGACTGTCTTTGAGTTCCTGAGTATTGCCTTAAGATAGATTCCTAGAAAGAGAATTAGGTCAGAGGGTATTAACATTTTAAAGCTCTTGTATTGCCAAATTGCTTTTTTTAAGAAATTACATTGAGTTATTAAATCCAGCCATCAGTGATCTGGTATATTTTTTGTGCTTATACTTCATCTTTTAAACATGTAGTTTGGAATAATTGGGAGATATTTTGATTATTTACCTGTTGTTACAGATTCATTCTCTCTAATCTCAGGGAGGCCCTTATTGTTTGGCAGTCATTTCACTTCTATCTCATTTCTTACCACATTTCTCCCAGCACCTGCTCCAAACAGTCTCTTCATTTCAGAAGCCTTCAGTTCTACTCCTTTTTCCATCACTGTTAATGGATTAACCTTGTCTTAATTTGATGCAAGGACTGATAACCTCTCTGACGTGACCTTGCCTCCTTTGCAGCTGTCCCCAGACCACCTTGCATCTCAGAATTGCTTTCTAACTCTTTTCATCATTTTCTTATTCCCTACTCTTGGAAGACTCTCCTTTACAAGGGGTGTCCCTGCTATTTTCCTAGACCTGTTTCCTTAGTTTTCTCCAAGATTTCATTTTGTCAGTTATCTTTTTATTAGACCTTCTTTATTTTTTTCTAGCTTGTTTCCCTCTGTGTAAGCATGCTCAGATACTCTGATTTTTCCCCCTAACTCATGGCCCCTCTTTGAACAACCACGTTTTTCCTCATTTTCATTTCATCTTAAAGCCTCAAAAAAAAAAAAGTTAATAGATGTTCATGGTCAAAGAAAAATAAATACACAGCACCTCTAATCAAACTTCTTCAGACTAGTCAACATTGATTGTCTTGAATTTTTTTTTTTTTTTTTTTTACTGTCAACACTTCAACCCCTTACAATCGAACCTGTCCTCCAGCTTTTGAAGGTTGAATCAATTTCTTAATTTCTAAATTGTAAAGCATTTTGGGGTCAGTCCTCCTCTCCCTTGATTAATGTAAAGCATTTGGTACTCATGGCTTTGCCTTGGGTAGCACTGCCTATTCTGGTTCTGTTTCATCTCTGTGACTACTTTCCTCTCATGTGTTTTCCCTGTCCCCTTGAGACCAGGATGCTCCATGGTTCTGTTCATGACAGCCTTCTTTTTGCTATATGCAGTTTGTACCTTGGAGATTTCAGCCAGCCCTGTAGCATAGATACCAGCTAATTAAATGGCTCTCAGTTAAATGGCAAATGGTTATTGAGCAAAAGGTGTTATGGTAAATACTAGACATTCAAAGACAATCAAGACAGTCTGATCTCCCCAAAAGCGTGCTGTCTACTAGAGGAGAAAGATGTGTACCAAGTCATTATTTCTGACAGCATTGTGTATTAGAAGGAACACTGGATTTAATCAAAAGATAGGAGTTTGAATCCCGATGCCACCTCTTACCAACTGGGTAACCTTGGATAGGAATTGCATAACTTCTCTGAGCCTGTTCTCAAATTGCCTACCTCATAAGGTTGCTGTGAAGAATAAATGCATGATGGTTTCTGAAGCACTTATCCCCTGCCGTTAGATCTCCTGAGCTGCATTTCTGTTTAACACGGCCCCCAGTTTGTCAGCCAAGCAGCTCAAATATATGAAGTCTAAAATGAAAGTAATGACCCTTTATGATCTCTTTCTATTGTTCTCAATCAGTTCCTTTTTTTTTAGTTACCTAATTCTGCTCACGGTGTGTCCCTGTTGTTCAGATTCCAGATGTCAGTGATTGTGGACTCCTCCTTTTTCTTAACAGATTACATAATACCTGCAGCTGCCAAGTCTTTGTCTGTGTTTTCATTATTTCATCATTTACATCAGATCTTTCTTTTCTCTTCCCGTTGACACACCCTAGTTCAGGCCTCATTCAAGTCATACCCAGAGTATTGTATCAGCCTCCTAATTGATCTTTACTCCTTCACTTTGCAACCTATTCTGTATGCCTTGTGAAGTACCACTCCAATTCTTGAACCCCTTTAATTAGAAACCTTCAGTAACTCCTTCATTGCCTATCAGGTAACATCTATCCTCTTGGCTAGCATTTAAGGCCTCCCCACATCTGCTCCAGCCTGACTTTCTAGCGATACCTCTCACCATAATACAAACAGTGTTCTGATCAGTCTTAGCTACTCACCATTCCCTAGTAGTATTATTGTCTCTGCTTCTGCCTGTTCATTCCTGTGTATCCCGCCTTCATTTTTACCTATTGAAATTTTCCCATCTTTCAGAGCCACCTCAGATGCAACCAGATCTTTGATGGATCAAGGTGAAACTCCTTAGTGTAAACATCACTGGCCTCTTTGATTTAGCCATTATTTTTCTTCAGCATCATCTAACACACTTCTATTCCTGTGCTCCACCCTAATTACTTGCATTTCCCAAGACCTACCACAGTCTTTCATCATTCCATTCATTAAGTGTTTGCAGAATGAATACTGCCTTCCTTGATTTCTCCAACTAGAAGTCACACCTTTCTTTAGAACCATGGTTAGAACAGGACTTAGCTTATTGTGTATAAAATTTAACAAGTACTGCTTTCTCTTCCAGTAGGAATTACCTCCCTTCCTTGAAGGAAGGGACTGTATCCTCTGTAACTTTGTGCTTCTTAGTATGGCATAATACATTTATGTATTAAATATTTGATAGCACTACTCACTGTATATTAAAGTAGAAGCCCAGTGTAACAAAATGCCAACCTCTCCCCTCTCTGTGACCCATGATCTCCCTGCGGTGTTCTCTCCTCATTCCAGGTCTCTCAGTGTACTTGTTCCTATTGCCTTTTCCTTTTGGCTAACTTCTTCTGGGCTACACTATCTAACATCTGGCTGTTGAGGTGACTACTAAATTGAATGCTAATTCAAACCTGGATGTTCACCTGTAACTAGGAATGTTGTTCTGGTCAAAAGTTAAGATTAACTGGAATGGTGACAACTGGTGTCTTTTTTATTCGCAGTCCTCAGTTTTGAACTCCTTTTTGGCTCTAAACTTGCTTGTGGGATTATCGGGGTTTTTTAAATTTTCAGTACTCCATTCTTGATTCGTCTAGAAAATCTGGGGGATTAATCTAAAAATTTATAGATTTCCTTTCAGTACAATTAGCCTAATTACTTGATTTTTAATCTTATTTTACCATTTAAAGGTTGAAGAAATCTTGATTATGATGAAAATAAATTTATTTTTCTTTCAACAGTGACATTGTGAGGAAGATTGATCAGTCTGAATTTGAAGGTTTTGAGTATATCAATCCTCTTTTGATGTCTGCAGAAGAATGTGTCTGATCCTCATTTTTCAACCATGTATTCTACTCATGTTGCCATTTAATGCATGGATAAACTTGCTGCAAGCCTGGATACAATTAACCATTTTATATTTGCCACCTACAAAAAAACACCCAATATCTTCTCTTGTAGACTATATGAATCAATTATTACATCTGTTTTACTATGAAAAAAAAATTAATACTACTAGCTTCCAGACAATCATGTCAAAATTTAGTTGAACTGGTTTTTCAGTTTTTAAAAGGCCTACAGATGAGTAATGAAGTTATCTTTTTTGTTTAAAAAAAAAAAAAACACTGCATTAAAAAAGTATCTGTTGCATTAAGGCACATAGTGGGATTACATCATAAACCTCCCATAATTTTTGTCATTCTGTGTTAAATCATTTCAGGGTTTAATTTTGAAATAAAAGATTAATATAAAATGCAACAACTTTTTATATTACCTATTAGTTTTGGAGTTCTTTATGTTTAAAAATTCAGGTGTAAATTTTATTGCCTTGGATAAATAAATTATTGATCTTTTTTAAGGCAGCAGTTATTAAATTGGTAATAGAAGATGCTGCTTGCTTAGAATTGGGAAATTCGGCTGGGTGCAGTGACTCAATGCCTGTGATCCCAGTACTTTGGGAGGTTGAGGCGGGCAGATCACTTGAGGTCAGGAGTTTGAGATTGGCCTGGTCAACATGGTGAAATCCTGTCTCTACTAAAAATACAAAAATTAGCTGGGCATGGTGGCACATACCTGTAATCCCAGCTACTCGGGAGGCTGAAACAGGAGAATCGCTTGAACCCAGGAGATGGAGTTGGCAGTGAGCCAAGATTAGCCTGGGCAACAGTGAGTGAGACTCGGTCTCAAACAAAAACCAAATTGGGAAATTCTTCTTGAGTTAAAAAAGACACTTTTTATTATGAATCAGATTCCAAATCATTAACTATTTTTGCAAAACTGGCACAAGTGGTTTTTCTTTTTAAGTATATTAACAGGGTAGCTCCTGAGCCTTTCCCTTTATTGGAAACTTTAACTGCAGTGTTAATATATACACTGCAAAAGACCAAGGATGCAGTTGAATGGAAAATTACTCAGTGTATAGAAAGGAAAAAAACCAGAAATTTAAAATAGATACAGAAAAGTACACTGGTAATATTTTTATTTCCTATTGGAGAGTGAATCCCCACAGTTGCTTTTTGTGACTTGATTCAAATGAGGCACTCATTATTGTTACCAAACTTGTAAAAGCATTCCATGTATTCAGTGGAGGCAGAATGTATAATATTTTTTCCTTATAATTTAGCATACAGGAAAAGTATTTATTTTTTAAGTAGGGTATCTTAATTATGCTCATTTCTTCCCCTAAACCACATTATCTATATGATTGGACCCTTTAGTGAAATCAGAAAAATAAAGTAGGCATGAATAAATGTTCAGGACACACACATACACTCACACACATCACAGTATCAGCTCTTTCAGTGAGTTTTTATTAACTAGATAACACATGTAATACATAGTAGAATACATTTCAGAGGCAGAGTTCCTCGGATTATTTTTTATGGATATTAGTGTTCAGCAGCTTATTATTTAAAGGGGTGCCAAATATAGCATCCTTCTGTTGTTTATTTTAAATATATTTTTAATGAAAAGGGACTTAAAAAGTAAACATGATTATCTAAATTACTTAAAATTTTTTAATCTTAGTAAAAATTTTAGGAAAGTTATCTAGTTTAAATTTCAAATGTTTTAAAATTTGTAGGCATTTAATAAATTATCTTTTTTTGGAGGGGTGGATGCTGCATTTCATTGGAAATGTCATTTTTCCAAAGTTTCTAGCTATATACTCTCTTTCCTTCAAATAACATAAGTCTGAAAGCAATGAAAACGTCAAAGGAAAATGTTTATATACATCCACATGTTTATTTAATATGTTTCTCTTAACACCTGAAACTTGTTTTAAAACAAAAAGCAGTATTCACTTCAAATCATAAACTTAGAATTCTGTATCTCATGTCAGAAATATGTTTATGGCCTTGCTTTTAAGTGGTGCTGTTTCCCATAGGGCATTAGTTCTCAGATTTTGGAATGTGAAATAATCACCTAGGAAGTTGGTTTAAAATGCACACTAGTGA
Source organism: Homo sapiens (assembly GCF_000001405.40). Classification (NCBI taxonomy): domain Eukaryota; kingdom Metazoa; phylum Chordata; class Mammalia; order Primates; family Hominidae; genus Homo; species Homo sapiens. The sequence continues at coordinate 170,305,254 of NC_000003.12, forward strand.
GCCCACCTTAGACTTCTTTTGGGGCCTTCGACCTCACTTTGAGAAATACCTTCTTCAGGTTATTCTTTATGTTTGTCCTGTGGTTAAATATTAGAGTATTCATGATAAAACATTTTGAGAAGGGGTAAGCAGTGAGTTATTACCCACAATTTAAAGCAAATTTTGAATGAATCTTTAAGTTAGGTATCTACCTTCCCACCAGCCCCCCAAAAAACCTCTCAGTAGTTTCTTTCAGTGTACAAAATGATGAGCATTTTTCTATGATGAGGTTTTAACCATTATTCAGGGTGGTCTTTTGTTTTTAAATCTTTTTTTAACTAATAAGATTTACGGTGTGTATTTTATACAGAAATGCATTATAAATGTTTTTAATTGTGTTCTGTTTTTTGCAGTCTTTAAGTGCCATGCCAATTGTTCTTATATTCTATAGAAGTTCGCTCAAAATACTCAACAGGGGAATAGGCAGCGGACAGTCAGAATGGTTGGAATTTTGGCTTTCTAAGAAAAACTTTATTTTGCATAAGCATGTGGTCAGATCATTTTGTGCATATGCAGCCTGGATTGGATGTTAAGTAAATGCTTGTTCAGTGCCGGTACATTTACTTAAATCTGTTTTTATTTTTGTCATGTAGAATACTACTGTGGTCATCATAATGTAATCTATTTCTGTACCTTTTTTTTTTTTTTTTACTTTGAAGTCTTTAAATAAAATGTATAATACCCATTGAGAGTGGATCATTTTTCATATGTAGTATGTCAGAAATTTGTATAAGAACAAAGATGCATCAAAATTTGTTCAAGAAAAAGTGAAAATTTCAGAGTTTGGAATTTTGCTGTACTTAAAGCACCATTCTGGTAGAACTGATGCTGTCGTATTTACATTTAATAATGTTACATTTAGCTGGACATAGTGGCTCACACAGCACTTTGGGAGACTGAGGTGGGAGGATCACTTGACCCTAGGAGTTTGAGTTCAGCCTGGGCAATATAGTGAGACCCCATCTCTACATACAGAAAAATAAGAAATTAGCCAGGCATGCCGGCAAAGTGCCTATAGTCCCAGGAGGCTGAGGTGGGAAGACTGCTTGAGCCCAGGAGGTTGTGGCTGCAGTGAACTATGATCATGCCACTGCACTCCAGCTTGGGCAACAAAGTGAGACCCTGTCTCTCAAAAAATATTTAATGTTATATTTATTAATGTAGATATTATTAAAAATTAGGAATTAAAATATTCTCCATTGTTTTATTTATTTTAGCAACAGGGTCTCACTCAGTCACCCAGGCTAGAGTGCAGTGGCATGGTCATAGCTCACTAATAACCTTGAACTCATAGGCTCATGGGATCTCCAGCTTGGAGTAGCTGGGACTACAGGCATACACCACAGACACATGGCTACTTTTTTTTTTGGTAGAGATGAGGTCTCGCTATGTTGCCAAGGCTGGTCTCAAACTCCTGGGCTCAAGTGATCCACCCAATTTGGCCTTCCACCACCACACCCAAGCCTCTCCACTATATATATTTTTAACTCATCTTTCCATTCATCTCTTTTAATTGGAAAACAAATTAGTAAGACATCAGCTGATCATAGAATATTTTAACTGGTTTTAAAACTGAAGCAAGGCTGGACACAGTGGCTGACGCCTGTAATCCCTACACTTTGGGAGGCCGAGGCGGGTGGATCACCTGAGGTCAGGAGTTCGAGACCAGCCTGGTCAACATGATGAAACCCCGTCTCTACTAAAAATACAAAAAATTAGGTGGGCACCTGTAATCCCAGCTACTCAGGAGGCTGAGGCAAGAGAAGCTTGAACCTGGGAGGCAAAGATTGCAGTGAGCCGAGATCGCGCCGCTGCACTCCAGCCTGGGCAACAAGAGTGAAACTCTCAAAAAATAAATAGTGGGCGCGCTGGCTGACGCCTGTAATCCCAGCACTTTGGGAAGCCGAGGCGGGTGGATCAGGAGGTCAGGAGATCAAGACCATTCTGGCTAACACAGTGAAACCCTGTCTCTACTAAAAATACAAAAAAATTAGCCGGGTGTGGCGGTGTGCGCCTGTTGTCCCAGCTGCTGGGGAGACTGTGGCAGGAGAATGGCGTGAACCTGGGAGGCAGAGCTTGCAGTGATCCGAGATCGCGCCACTGCACTCCAACCTGGGTGACAGAGCAAGACTGTCTCAATAAATAAATAAGTAATAAATAAAACCGAAGCAAATTTAAAGATTCAGAACAGATTATCTCTTCATGCTTTACAGTAATCTAAAATCGAATATTTCTTCTTCAATTGTAACTAGTGTCCATATTGTAGCTAGTGTTTATATAAACAGTGTGAGTGCCTTTCTTTTTTCTTTTCTGTCTTTTTTTTTTTTTTTTTTTTTTTGGTAGAGGCAGGATCTCACTGTTGTCCAAGCTGGCCTTGAACTCCTCCATCTTTCTGCCTGAGCCTCTCAAAGCACTGGGATTACAGGCTTGAGCCACCATGCCCCATCTCTACTTCTTTTCTTGATTACAGGCATGAGCCACCGCACCCCGCCTTCCCAGATAGGATAAGTATTTTATCCTAATTTCAACTCTTGCTTAAAATGAAGTTCTAGGCAGTATTAAGAAAGTACTTTCCAGGCTATTCCCTGTATCACATCATAAATTTGGTGGTTTTCTGTGAGTGAGTAAATCCTAAAACAGACTCCACAGAGGAACTTGAAGCTTTAGGGAAATTTTTCATTAAGGCATTCCATCACTGGGATAACCAGTTTCTCCCCGAAAGGTACAACCAATCTCCAGTCCTTGAAATTCAACAGCTTGCTTTGTGGACAATGGCTAACAATGAGTCATTTGGTCTATCTGAAGGTCTCCTTTCCTAGATTTGCTCTTGTTTACTCTAGGACTTAAGGATCACTTAAGAACCAGATGGCTGGGTGCAGTGGATGACGCCTGTAATCCCAGCACTTTGGGAGGCCAAAGCGGGTGGATTGCTTGAGACCAGGAGTTCGAGACCAGCCTGGGCAACATAGTGAAACAACCGTCTCTACAATTTGCTGGGCGTGGTGGCATATTCCTGTCATCCCAGCTGCTCGGGAGGCTGAGGTGGGAGGATTGCGTCAGCCCTGGAGGGTGAGGCTGCAGTGAGCCCTCGAGTCTGGGTGACAAAGCAAGACACTTGTCTCAAAAAATAAAAATCTGAATAGTTTATATCCCTAGCTTATTCCAGAATATACTGGAATTTACTGTGCACGATGCTAAATAAGGCTAATAAAAACAACCTCTGCCCTTGATGTTAAACGTAGAAAACAGACATACTGAGATGTTCATCTCCACAATGAATAGTCCAGTGACAAAAGCCAAATAAATGCATGAAAATATACATTATGTAATCATGATGGTTCACTAATGAAACTTATAGGAATTTTATTTAACATTCTTTTGTAATTAATGCTGGACATTTTTCAGGTTTATGGTAGATTCCACAGCTTTCTGGGTTTATATATACACAATAAGAATAGAATCTTTAGATCAATCTCTTAACATACACACTATGAGATTGTTTTTGGCTTTTGTGCTGAGAAATATGAATTGGATTTTGCCTGGGAATGGGAGAGCAGATTGTCAGCTGCTTCTGCTTAGATTAGATCTTTTACAGTCCATCTCTGAAATTTATAATTAAAATGAATCCAGCTCAGAATTTAAGAGTGATTTTTGTGGCAGTGCGATTCACTTTCATGTAACTTGTGCCTTACTGGTGTTGACATTTTATTTTTACTCCAATTACTATTTTTAGTATTTGTATGGATAAACAAATTATAAGTACCTAAGAATTAGTGGCTGTTTAATGTGATCTTTTACAAGATATCTGAAAATGAAAGCCCATGCCAGATGGATTCACTAGACTTGAGAGGGTTAAGTTTTCATCAACAATTTAGCTGGTCAGAAGCAAATTCCAATTGTTTAAGAAAGAGCCTGTTGAAACGCTCTAGCAAAATTTTTGAAAATTTAGATGCTTTGTTTTTTCCATAAAAGGGAAGTGCTGGGTGGTTTCTAGAGGTAGTGCCACATAACCAGATTTAAAACTTGCATGAGATAAACTATCTGCAATGTGGGTGGCTACACTTGATGATTTTTACATTATTCATAATATATTTAGGAATAAAAACATGCAAAGGAACTTAAATACAGAAAATACAGAAATTTAGCTCACATTTTACGGCCTTTTACAGAAAATTTTTAAGAAAAAAAATTTTTGAGGCAGTAGATTTTTATTTAAACAGCCAGATTTTTTCTTTTTCTTTTTCTTTTTTCTTTTTTTTTTTTTCTTTTTTTTTTTTTTTTGAGACAGTAGTCTTGCTCTGTCACCCAAGCTGGAGTGCAGTGGTACGATCTCAGCTCACTGCAACCTCCGCCTCCCAGGTTCAGGTGATTCTCATGCTTCAGCCTCCCGAGTAGCTGGGATTACAGGAGTGTGCTACCACCCCCGCCTAATTTTTGTGTTTTTAGTAGAGACGGGATTTTACCATGTTGGCCAGGCTGGTCTTGAATTCCTGACCTCAAGTGATCCACCGCCTCGGCCTCCCAAAGTGCTGGGATTACAGGTGTGAGCTCCCGCACCCAGCTCAGATTTTTCAATTTAAAGATCATGAAAGAACATGCATTTATGTACAGTTTGGCTCAAGTTTATCCAGTTAGAAAGTATTCATTTTCTAACAGGGAAATTTGAATCAGCATGCTAAAGACTTGCTATCTTCCTAGATTATTTTATGTTTTAAATTTTAATTTATGTATTTATTGAGGGCCTTATAATGTGTCTAGCACTATGCTGATTCTGTAGGATTTGGGAAAATGTTAAATAATTTTTTGTGACAGACGGAATAAATGCATTTCAGAAAAGTTGGCTTAAAGTTTAAAAAAAAGGCCTGTGTGTATGTTATTCCTTTACTTAGAAGATATTTCCCATGATCAAAATAAAAATGAATGTTCTCCCCCAATAGTGGGGAGTACGTGGTAAGGCAGCGGGGTAGGCCTGGTGGACTGCAGTGTGCCTGGTTGGCAGAATACTGATTCTATCTGCTTCACCACCACCAGGGGCCAGTCTCTTGCTATAATGAAGGTCAGAGTTACCAGCACCATAGCCCTCTGGAGGAGCCAGTGTATTCACTACAGGCCGGTTACCTAGAGGTTCCAGGATTTTATCAGTGCTGATCATGTGTATTTTAATTTTACGGAACTATTAAAAGTCAATATACCGGCCGGGCGCGGTGGCTCACGCCTGTAATCCCAGCCCTTTGGGAGGCCGAGGCTGGCGGATTCCTTGAGGTCAGGGGTTTGAGACCAGCCTGGCTAACGTGGTTAAACCTCGTCTCTACAAAAATACAAAAACTATCCGGGTGTGGTGGTGCATGCCTTTTATCCCAGCTGCTTGGGAGGCCGAGGCAGGAGAATCGCTTGAACTGGGGAGATAGAGGTTGCAATAAGCTGAGATTGCACCACTGCACTCCAAACTGGGCGAGAGGGCGAAACTCCGTCTCAAAAAAAAAAAAAAAAAAAGAAGTCAATATACCCTTTGAACTGTTATTCAGAACGCTCTAATATGTTATCAGGGAACCTGGAAGGTTTTGTACTAGAATTGCTCTGCCCACTTTAACCATTCTGGATGTTAGAACTTCCATATAAATTAAACACAAATAGGGCCTGTTAAGTGCCAGGCACTGGAGATTCATCAAGCAAGAGTCTAATTGTGTCATGTTTCATCTGTGAAGAATACTTTCAGTTGAAAATAAAACCAGGGCTGCTTTTGGTCATTAAGACACAAAGGAATTCAATTAAAACAAAATCCAGGAAATTATCCACATTCTTCAGTTGTAAACTTTTTTTATTTTTTTTATTTTTTGAGACGAAGTCTCGCTCTGTCTCCAGAGTACAGTGGTGCGATCTCGGCTTACTGCAACCTCTGCCTCCCAGGTTCACACCATTCTCCTGCCTCAGCCTCCCGAGTAGCTGGGACTACAGGCTCCCACCACCACGCCTGGCTAATTTTTTTGTATTTTTTTTTTAGTAGAGATGGGGTTTCAACGTGTTAGCCAGGATGGTCTCTATCTCCTAACCTCATGATCCGTCCGCCTCGGCCTCCCAAAGTGCTGGGATTACAGGCGTGAGCCACCGCACCTGGCCAGTTGTGAACTTTCTATATCAAATGTTGCATGGCATTACAATAGTGTCATTTACTATGACCTGGCATTCATATGCAAAGAAAAACTTTTTAAAAATAGTGTTACTCACAAATTTTAATCCATGGATATTTACAGACATTCAAATTGTCAATTAGAAACATGATTTCAGTGGTGTTTTGATTATGTTGCTATTTCGCAAACACTACTTTTTGGAAAAAAAAAATAGAGATGGGGTCTATGTTGGCCAGGAAGGTCTTGAACTCCTGGCCTCAGGCGATCCTCCTTCCTCAGCCTCCCAAAGTGCTAGGATTACAGGGATGAGCCACCACGCCCTGCCCACTAAACACTTATGTACTGGAGGTAAATATTTGAAATGTCTTTTCCCAAGGAAAGACATTTATCTTTTAATCCTATTGAAAATTAATTTTTGCCATACCTCAATTCCAGGCAGTTATTTACCTCATTGCCCAAAATAACTGTACAATGTGCAGTAAGTTGCATTAAACAACCTCAGATCTTCTCCACAGATTTTTTTCATCAACAACTTTTTAGATTTGTTGTGTTATTGACAACACTTTATAATCTGCTCATTTTAGCCAGGTGTGGTGACTCATGGCTGTAATCCCAGCACTTTGGGAGACTGAGGCAGGCGGATCACCTGAGGTCGGGAGTTCCAGACCTGCCTCGCCAACATGGAGAAACCCCGTCTTTACTAAAAATACAAAATTAGCTGGGCATGGTGGCACATGCCTGTAATCCCAGCTACTCGGGAGGCTGAGGCAGGAGAATAGCTTGAACCCAGGACACAGAGGTTGTGGTGAGCAGATATTGCACTATTGCACTCCAGCCTCAAAATAATAATAATAATAATAATAATCTGCTCATTTTAACTTGGTAGTAAGAGTAATCAGGAAGTATGAAATCTGTCAATCACAAAGTACAAGAATTTTTAGGCTGGGCGCGGTAGCTCACACCTGGAATCCCAGCACTTTGGGAGGCCGGGGCAGGCAGATCACTCCTGAGGTCAGGAGTTTGAGACCAGCCTGACCAACATGGCAAAACCCCATCTCTACTAAAAATATAAAAAATTAGCTGGGCTTGGTGGCACACGCTTATAATCCCAGCTACTAGGGAGGCTGAGACAGGAGAATCACTTGAACCCGGGAGGCAGAGGTTGCAGTGAGCCGAGATCATGCCACTGCACTCCGGGCTGGGCAACAGAGGGAGACTGTCTCAAAAAAAACAGAATTAAAAAAAATTTTTAAATAGAGGGGGAGGCTGGGCACGGTGGCTCACGCTTGTAATCCCAGAACTTTGGGAGGCTGAGGCAGGTGGATCACCTGAGGTCAGGAGTTTGGGAACAGCCTGGCCAACATGGTGAAACCCATCTCTACTAAAAATATAAAAATTAGCCGGTAGTCCCAGCTACTTGGGAGGCTGAGGCAGGAGAATCGCTTGAACCCGGGAGGTGGAGGTTGCAGTGAGCCGAGATTGAGCTACTGCACTCCACCCTGGGTGGCAGAGTGAGACTCTGTCTCAAAATAATAATAATAATAATAATAATAATAATAATAATAAATAGAGGGGGAAGCTGGTACCTTATAACCGTAATGGGGCCTGGTGTTTTTAACTTATGTTTGATTTTCAGTGATGCCAAAGTAAGTTAACTTTCCCAAAAGAAGTTACTCCTCATGTTAGGTCCAGTAAATGGAAATATTATTTATGGGTTATAATTGCTGACCTTGTCCAGACATGTGTTAAACATTTTGTACATGTCTCATTTAATTCAAACAGTCCTCTGACAGTGTTTCCCACCCCAGAACTACTGAACTGAAATCTCTGGGAGGTAGGATCTGGGACTAGCATCTCAGGTCAGCCTCAGATTAAGTTTTGAGAGCCACCAGCCTGTACGAATATGTGCTATTATACCCATTCAATAGATGGAGGGGGAAATAGATGTAAGGAAGTTAGGTAGCTTATTCATGGTCCGTATGGCTCCAGTACGCCATTGCCTCTCAAGAAAACAAATACAAAATTTGCACTAAAATATCAGTTTCAGGCCAGGTGCAGTGGCTCACGCCTGTAATCTCAGCACTTTGGGAGGCTGAGGCAGGCAAATCACCTGAGGTCAGGAGTTTGAGACCAGCCTGGCCAACATAGTGAAACCCCGTCTCTACTAAAAAAAAAAAAAAAAAAAAAAAAATTAGCCGAGCTTGGTAGTGTATGCCTGTAATCCTAGCTACCCAGGAGGTTGAGGCAGGAGAATTGCTTGAACCTGGGAGGTGTAGGTTGCAGTGGGCTGAGATCACATCACTGCATTCCAGCCTGGGCGATAGAGTGAGACTCTATCTCAAAAATTGAAAAAAATAATAAAAATAAAAATAAAATAAAATATCAGTCTCACTGGGAGAAAGTACACACACACAACTAGTGCACTGTTTGTCAGTGTCTTGCTTACTTCTTGATGGCCATCTCTGGGTATCTGTTTAAGGCCTTACTTCCTTCTCTGAAACTGCATTGACTCAACCCTGCCAGGCTTTTTCCATAATGTTGTGCTCTATCTTTCAATGGTTTGAGCCTCCAATGTCATGTACCTATGAAATACACTTTCTCAGGCAGCCCAAGATCCCTTTCTTTGAAATTCTCAGAACTGTGTGGTAGCCCATCATAAATGACTCCTACTGCCATCATGGGATGTGAGCCTGTCCAACAAAATAGTACTGTTGCTGGCCTCCTCAGTTGACTATGACTCCCTTGGATAAAAAAAGTACAGGAGGCTGCTGATTTCTAGGGAAGGAGGGAGGGTGCCTCTAATCCACTAGATGACTGCTGGGGTTAGATCTCTTGAGTATCTTGGAAAGTTATCTATGGTGACCATCCAAGATGTGCCACCAGTAACCCAGCCTCCCTCCCATCCTGCTCTGTTCTTGCCCTTACCAAACTCAACCTTCCCTTTGTCCTCCCCTCCTTTCTCCTGTGCACACTGGAACCCTCTTAAGGAGTAAATGAGCATCTATGTTCTCAGCTTTTTCATCGCACTTTTCCCCTACTGACTATCCTGACGACATTGCTTTTCTTGCCACCCTCTCTCAAGAGGAGGCTGCGTATTCTCTTGCTGTTTCCCTGAGTTCCGCGTTCTGGCTCCTTCATGCTGCTTGTGTGCTATTACTCCTCCATCATGTGTAAAAAAACCTACGTCTTTGGGGTTTACACTACGTGGCTGTGTCTCTTTGCCATATGCCACATTGCTGCTTATCAAATTTCATCTGAGGAAGGTTTGGCACCTGGGTCACTGATTGCTCTACCCCAAGGCCTGCCATCCTTGATAACTTCAGTGTCTAAATAGGCCAAGGATCTGACTGCAATCAAACACCAAATCCCATCCCTTCCTTCTTCTTAGTGTGTCCTACCACGCTTGTTTCCACCTAAGGATCTTAACTCATGTTGTCCCCATACCTGAATACGCTCCTTCCCTCTTTCCCTTTATAGCCTTCAGGTTTGTGTCACTTCCCCAGAAACGTGCACTCAAGGCCATCTTATCTAGTGGTTCCCTCTGCTATTCTCTATCAATGACCCTTCATAGCGCTTCTTCCTCCTAGCATCTCTCACAGTGTGTGTGTGTGTGTGTGTGTGTGTGTGTGTGTGTGTGTGTGTGTATATATTTGCTGGTTTATTTCATTGTCATCTGTCATTTCCAGCAATCTGTATGTCCCTCAAGGACAGGGGCCATGTCAATTTCATTTACTTTTGGAGTCTCAGCATAAGAACAATGCTTGGCACACAGACCCTCCAGAAATATTTATAAAATAAATAAATAAATGAGTGGATAGACTTAGCTCTGTACTTTGAAAGGAGAGAGCTCCCACTGGCTCATGTTTCCACCATCAGTAGAGGTTGGCAAGGAAACTTTCACTGCTCCTGCTGGGTGAAGGCTAAGGAACCAGTAATGTTTTAAGGCAGAAGTGCAGAAGCAACAAAATATTTTTGGCTTTAGTTTTTAAAGTATTATGCTTTTTTTTTGAGATGGAGTCTTGCTCTGTCGCCCAGGCTAGACTGCAGTGGCGCAGTCTCAGCTCACTGCAACCTCCATTCCCAGGTTCAAGCGATTCTCCTACCTCAGCCTCCCAAGTAGCTGGGATTACAGGTGCGCACCACCACGCCCGGCTAATTTTTGTGTTTTTTTAGTAGAGATGGGGTTTCGCTACGTTGGCCAGGCTGGTCTTGAACTGTTGACCTCAAGTGATCTGCCCGCCTCAGCCTCCTAAAGTGCCTCCCAAACAATTAATAAGTGTTTAAGAAAATATTTAGTAAGCTTGTTCTGTATTCCTACACAAAAAGTATAACAGCAACATATTCCACAAGAGTAAAGCAAAATAAGTAAAATTATTCCAAGTAAACAAATTAGGAGGCTTTTTATGAACTGGGCAACTGTTGGAACTAAGCTGGTATGGGGTTGTTAACTGATTGTAATGTGCCCAGAATTAGAATATTGATCCAGATTTTTACATTACCCATCTCTTTTGGGTTTTTTTTTTTTTTTTTGAGCAACAATTAGAGATCATTGGTTGGTTTACAGGAATAAGCAGGGTTAGCCTAAATTGCAGAAACAAACTGAAAAATAACTAATGAGACTAGAATTTAATAACAAGTATACCATAGTTTTTGAAACATAATATTTTTCTTTCCAGTTTTCCATTTTTATTAAAGACAAATTATAGTAAGACTGATTTGCTTTATTATACTTGACTTGATTATTTGTATAAAGTGCAGCAAGAGTATATTTTATATAGGCTTTTAAGAAATGGGCTTTAATGGAAATTTGTTCCATAGAAGGAATATTTTATTTTATTTTGTTTTATTTTATTTTGAGATGGAGTCTTGCTCTGTCATCCAGGCTGGAGTGCAGTGGCACCATCTTGGCTCACTGCAACCTCTGCCTCCTGGGCTCAAGTGATTCTCCTGTCTCAGCCTACCAAGTAGCTGGGATTATAGGTGTCCACCACTGCACCCAGCTAATTTTTGTATTTTTAGTAGAGATGGGGTTTCACCATGTTGGTCAGGCTGGTCTCGAACTCCTGACCTCAGACAATCCGCCTGCCTTGGCCTCCCAAAGTGCTGAAATTACAGGCATGCACCATCGCCCTGGCCTAAATGTTTACATTTTTAAGACATTTTATTTTACCAATAACCTTTAAAACTGTCTTTATTTTTAAAAGATTACTGAAGTCATGTGAACAAAAAGGCGTTAAAGTGTCTATTTTTCTGACAAAATATTTTATTTAAGCGCTTAGTTTTTAAGCCAATTAATTAGAGCTCTTTTACATATAAACATACAACACATATAAATACACAGACAGAAGATTTAGCACTTGTAAGATTTTTCTATTTGCCAGTTTTTTAACTGGATTACTGGCTTCAGGGCGGAGCCCTTGGAGGAACAGGGCCAGGAAAGCTTGCGTTTCTAAGGCCAAATAAGCAGCAAATAAGCAGCTGAAAGCAAAGACAGATCCCCACAGTTAAGGGTGCCATTTTATACTGGTTCCTGGAGTCCCAAAAGGAAGGAAATACTACGGGAGCAGGCGGTGCAGTGCTTCTATTCTGCATTTCATTGCAAGGCAACACAAAGCCAATCAGCCCATTTTATAATCAGCCCATTCCTCATGGGAGTTTTATTTCCCAGTGGGGTTGGGGTGTTTCCCTATCTTCTAGGTGGCCAAGAGCATGCTTTTTTTACTCAAGTATGCAAAGAGTCAAGTATCCCTTGATAGCTATTATTAGCCATCCCTTAAAGTGTATTTCCTACCTAGTTATTGTATTATAAAACACCAAAGCTTTTTCATAATGGGAAGTAATTTCTGATACCCCCAAAACTCAAAACCATTAGATAACACAATGCAAAACAGAACAGAGCCTTTGATTTTTTAGAGGGATCTGTCTGCTTTTAATTCCTGGGGTTTCATGAAGAAAACAGAGGTTTTTTTTTTTCCCCAAAATGGAGTCTGTGGCGCCTCCTCCGTTTTTCCCAAGGAGTCCCAGGCTACCAGAAGTTACCTTAGGGCCCCTCATGTATGCATTGAGAGTGGCAAAACAAACAAACAAACAAAAAATGGAGAAAAATAATTCAGTCGACTGAGAAGAAAAAAAAAAACTTTTCCAGAAAAGCAAGTTCCAAGAAGAGAAAAACATAAAGGCCTTTTAAATATATCTAGAGCTTGTTTATCCACTTTTAATTAAGCTGACTTTCAACCATAGTGCTCTTTAAAAAAAAAAAAGACATTTTTTCAGATCTCTTGTTACCCGACTGTAGCCATGCCAAGCGGCCAAAATTTCCAGCTTTTGAACGTTACCAAAGGTAACCTTCTAGGCGCTTAGAGAAAGGAAAATTTAGGACAGTCCACGGAGAAGAGAATAGACAAGGTCACTCAGATATTACACCAGAAATGACTTATTTCCTAGGTGGGGAAACGAACCTGGACCACTAACTGTGAAAGTGCAAGATCCTAGTTACTGAGCTACAGTGGGCAGCATTCTGTGTGTGTGTTTTCTCAGAAGGAGCCTAGAGTAGTTAATTTTGAGCTTGCAGAGGCTTCTAACTATCTAATATGATTTTTAGAGCTAACTATGACATGAACCCTAAAATTCCTGTTCCCTGGAAGGCAGAGACCAAGAGAAAGTACCACCACATGGTTAAAAGGTCACGCTCCCAAGAACATAAAACAAAGTGGAGACTTCATCCAGTTTTTTTTGTTTGTTTCAGGGACCTACAGCCAAGTTTCTTACTGACCAGCTTGCTGGGTCGTTTTGAAAAGCAGGCTTACAGGTGTTCTAAGCCCATGTTTTACTCTAAAGTACCCCTCAACACAGAAAAACAAATTTACAGCACGAAATACACCAGTTTAAGATTAGCCTTAGAATTTTTTCACATTAATTAAAACTTTACAGAGGAGATCAACACTGATTTATTTGTTTATTTATTTATTTTTCCATTTATTGAACCATTTTCACAGAGAGAGAAGCCAGAAATCTGACTGGTAGGAAATTCTTACCCTTTTGCCAGCATGCCAGGCTTCTGGGTTCCCTTTCCCTAAGCGGCATTACTGATCAGGCTTGTGGCACCATCGTCCTGGGGGCCAAGCCGCATCATAAAGGAAAATTATTTGTTTTTGTTCTGGCCAGAGCAAAATACATGTGATAAAACATAGACATGGCAGGGCGCGGTGGCTCACGACTGTAATCCCAGCACTTTGGGAGGCCGAGGTGGGCGGATCACGAGGTCAAGAGATCGAGACCATCCTGACCAACATGGTGAAATGCCATCTCTACTAAAAATATAAAAAATTAGCTGAGCGTGGTGGCACACACCTGTAGTCCCAGCTATTCGGGAGGCAGAGGCAGGAGAATCGCTTGAACCCGGGAGGCTGAGGTTGCAGTGAGCCGAGATCACGCCACTGTACTTCAGCCTGGGCAACACAGGAGACTCCGTCTTAGACAAACAAACAAACAAAAAACATAGACATTAGCCACACTGCTTAGCACCCAATATCAAACTGGCGAAGCTTAAATTTGCCCCCAGATGGGCCCCGTCATCTTTGATCCAACCTCTGACTTGGAGTTTCAACACGTGGTCTCTGGGCAAGATGGTCGCCTTGAGTAATAGAAAAGATAGAAAGGGAAAGGAAAAGTAGAGAAGGAAAGTATTGCCTGCAGCAGGGTGGGGAAGTCCAAATGATCAGGGAGGCCAGAGAAAGACCCCCTCATTGCAGCGACGCTTTAAAGTTCAGGTGGCTGCGGCTGCTGTCGTTAAGGGGTTTTTCCCAGCAGTCCCGCCAGCTCTCAAGTTTCCCCTTTCAGGAAGGAAAAAGCTCCCATGTCCCACGATCCTGTACAGGCCTAACCCTGTCACCCACAGCCATCAGCAAACAGTGCAAGGCAGATTAATCCAAAGAGAATTGCAGTTAACATCCCATAGTGCTGAACCTGTTCTTAGCCGAGAAGGACTTTACCTAGAGGGGTCTCTAACCCTTTAAATCTTAGAAGGGACTCTAACTCTCCTAAGTTGGGCCTCTAACCCAATCCCATTTTTTTTTTTTTTCTTTGAGACGGAGTCTTGCTCTGTTGCCCAGGCTGGAGTACAGTGGTGTGATCTTGGCTCACTGCAACCTCCACCTCCCGGGTTCAAGCGATTCTCCTGCCTCGGCCTCCCGAGTAGCTGGGACTACAGGCGCCCGCCACCACACCTGGCTTTTTTGTATTTTTAGTAGAGACGGGGTTTCACCACGTTGGCCAGGATGGTCTCAATCTCTTGACCTCGCGTTCCACCCAATCCCATTCTTTACCTGGGTATATGCACCCTACTTACCCAAAGTCAGCCGACTGGTGAGCGCGGATGATTTTCCTTTGGGTCGGGAGTCTCTACAGTATGGTCCCTTTTGTGGTTCGCGAGAAAGATGTTACAGGACCCCAACACTTACCCAAAGGTAGCCGTTGGGTCGCGATTTCTGCACTATAGTCCCTTCTGTAGTCGCCAGAAATATCTTACAGGACAGAAAAATATGTTACAAGAATGGGGTCCCAATCCAGACCCCGAGAGAGTTCTTGGATCTCGCACAAGAATTCAGGGTGAGTCCCTAGTGCGAAGTGAAAGCAAGTTTATTAAGAAAGTAAAGGAATAAAAGAATGGCTACTCTAAGGCTGGGCGCTGTGGCTCACGCCTGTAATCCCAGCACTTTGGGAGGCCGAGGCAGGTGGATCACCCGAGGTCAGGAGTTCGAGACCAGCCTGGCCAACATGATAAAACCCTGGCTCTGCTAAAAATACAAAAATTAGCTGGGCACGGTCGCACACACCTGTAATCCCAGCTACTTGGGAAGCTGAGGCAGGAGAATTGCTTGAGCCCGGTAGACGGAGGTTGCGGTGAGCTGAGATTGCGCCACTGCCCTCCAGCCTGGGCGACAGAGCAAGACTCTGTCTCAAAAAAACAAAAAAGGCTACTCTATAGACCGAGCAGCCCCACAGCCCCGAGGGCTGCTGCTTGTTTATTTTTACAATTATTTTTTGATGATATGTTAAACAAGGGGTGGATTATTCATGTCTCCACTTTTTAGAACATATAGGGTAACTTCCTGACGTTGCCATGGCATTTGTAAACTGTTCTGGCGCTGATGGGAGTGTAACAATGAGGACAACCAGAGGTCACTGTCATCACCATTTTGGTTTTGGTGGGTTTTGGCCGGCTCCTTTACTGCAACCTGTTTTTATCAGCAAGGTCTCTATGACCTGTATTGTGTGCTGACCTCCTATCTCATCCTGTGACTTAGAATGCCTTAACCGTCTGGGAATGCAGCCCAGTAGGTTTCAGCCTTATTTTACCCAGCTCCTATTTAAGATAGAGTTGTTCTGGTTCACCTGCCTCTGACACTATCACCAGGTAGACAGTGTTTGTTAGAAGTGAGTTAAATTGTAGGACACTCAGTTGTTATCCACTGGAGAATTGCTTGGTTGTCGACAGGGGGACATCCCCACACATTCTGGTGACCGGAGGGGAAGTATTCTGTGTTGAGTGTTTTAACTGTGTGAGAGCAGGAAAACACTGTTTTTTTTGTTTTGTTTTGTTTTGTTTTCCCCATCCTTTTCAAAGACTACATTAAACGCTAAGGAGAAAGGTAGTTCAATGAGAAAGGCAGTTTAAAGACTCCAAATAAAAGATAAAGCTAGATATTTCCTATACCATTCCAAAGCTTGCTTTGTCATTGTGCTTATACGGCCTTTCCATGTTTTTAAGTGTTATAACTACATTTTGAAATGAAGATCTGTTTTGATAAAAATATGAAAGCTATAAAGAGAAATATGTATGCAGCCTAAAAGTCGGACTGACCAAAAAATTCTTTAGAGACTTATGTCTTGCCGGGTGTGGTGGCTCACACCTGTAATCCTAGCACTTTGGGAGGCCAAGTCAGGTGGATTGCCTGAGCTCAGGAGTTCAAGACCAGCCTGGGCAACATGGAGAAACCCCGTCTGTACTTAAAAAAAAAAAAAAAAGCCACGCGTGGTGGTGTGTGTCTGTAGTCCCAGCTATTTGGGAAGCTGAGGCATGAGAATTGCTCAAACCCGGGAGGCGGAAGTTGCAGTGAGCCGAGATTGTGCCACCGCACTCCAACCTCGGTGACAGAGCAAGACTCTGTCTCAAAAAAAAAAAAAGAAAAAGAAAAAAGACGTATGTCTTTTGGCTAAGTGGACCTGCAGAAGGAATTATAAGTTATGGAATGATAGAATTTTAAAAGGATATGCTAGGTAGGAAACAAATTCTTCGTTACAGGACTCGACTTATTTGAAATAAGAGGAGAAAAAACAAATGGATGGTTTAAAAGGAAATGTTTGACTGAAGCCTGCTTTCTGTACCCATAGCTACCTGCCCACAAGAATGTGGCTCCCTGGTGACAGCTGCACTAATTATAGAAAAACAAGTTGAGTGGAAGAAGATGAATTATGTAAATTTACATTGACTGAGGATCCTGCTGGAGCATTTAGGAATGTTGATTATTAAGAATAAAGTGAGGATTTTCTTACATTGAAAATCAATGAAAAGAGGAAGGGATAATTTGCTACAGTCTTAGAATAAACTCTGGATCAGCCAAAATATCATTTATTAATGTTACTGTAAATTTGTTGCAGGTGACAGCCATTTTGTGGATTTGAGAGAAACTATCAAGTGGGTTTTAGGCTGCAAATTTACCTTATTTTTTGTTTATATACGAAATGAAAGGTACCAAAAAAGTCACATTTTTTGTAACCCTTGCTGTTATGTAAAATAGAAGTCTCCAACTATCTCTGCTTGGCTTTATGCAGATTTCTTATTTTTAAATATCAACCTAGATTAAAAGCTGATGATTAGAAAATAAAGAATGGAAAGCCAACCTTCCACAAGAAAACATTTTTTTGTGTGTTTCCAAAAATGGTCCATATGAAATCAAACACCTTAATAAACATGCCTAACATGAATCTTTACACCCGTAGAAATGTGACAAACTCAGTTTTAGTGAATATGTTGCAAAAACAAATAAAACTGGTATTTAACATTTTTCTTAGTGAAATATTACTGAACACTTAATTAACGTGCTGTAATTTTAAATGAATCCATTTTCCTACGCAGACACAGTAGAAAAGCAGCTAAATTGTTTCAGTCACCCACTCACTGAACAGACGAAACAAAACATAAACCCAACCATGTATTATTTGTTACATATCAGGAAGGTTAAGGTTCTGCCACAGAAACCGCACAATTCCAGTTCGTAGGGAATGTTCTTTTCTCACTCTGCATCAGATCATCACACTTCCAGTAAGTAGAGAAAGCACTGTTACATCGGGGTCAGAAAACTGTGCTAATGCAAAATGTCCTGTGTTTACTGCCATTTTTAATTCCCAAATACGTATATTTTAGTGACCTACAGTCTAAAACAGAACAGCCAAGCCTTTTTCCAAATGCAGATCTCTCTCACAATTTGCGTTACACAGAAAACCCCTGGGCAGACAAAGGACAGCTTGAGGATACCCCAATGTTCACATTTAGCACTGACACAGCACTTTCATCTGTAACGTGCCTTACAAACATTAACTAATTAAAAGAAACAACACCCTGCAAGGTATTTAGCAGGATGTAAAAATGAAAATCTACAAGCAAGACAGCCAGAATGCATAAATCATGAAGTGTTAAATCAACATGACCTGAAAACCAGCAGGACTCCCTCCCTCTTTTCTTGCCATGACTGTCTTTTGGGAAGGGCCAGAACTTGATTTTATGCCACGCGAAGACGGGGAGGGGGTGATGTCTGGGTGGAGGTGGGTGGGAGGACTGTAATAAAATTCTAAGTATCACATTTGCAAAGGGGAAGTGTTCTACTAACTCAGAGAAGGGGCTTCAAGAATATAACCCTTTTAGAAGTGCCCCAGAGAATACAAAATCAATACAGTGTTTAATTAATCTACTACAGATTGACTTCACATAAAGCAGCCCCAACCAGGAGAGTTCCATGCTGGGAAATCAGACAGATCACGGTTGGAGAGTATGAGTGGCCTGTATAATATGCATTTTTTGTCCTTTCGGGAGATGGAGGAGGGCACCGTGACTGCCCTGTGGTCTGACTGCACAGACTTTGCTCGCTTGCTCTATGAAAGCGTCCTCAGTAGGTAACAGCATTACAAAACAGTAAGTGAAATGAGCTCAGTAGCTTTTAGAAGAGGCAATGAGTGTTGTTCAGAAGAATTTGTGGTTCGGGGCTCTGGAGGAAGAGAAGGATTCTTTGGCCTGATGGAAAGATGACTGAAAAAAAGGAAAAAAAAAAAAAAAGACTGGGATTCTAACTAGTTCTATGACTCCATTTCTTCATGTTTGATATAGTTTAATAAGCTCTACCTCAAAGTAGGTGCTAGAAAATTAAATGAAATGGACGTAAAAGTGCTTAACTGAAAAGTAGATGTTTAATGAGTTGTAATTCACTTCTTACCGCCTTGGGTGTACTGCGGAGATGAGGCAGGTTCAGTTATGTCTCAACCCCAAGAAGTCTGTCATCAGAAGCAGTTCTAGAGGCAGCACTTGTCTCATATATCCGCTAATATCCAGGACCTAATACCTGGGAGCTGTGTTGTCCACCATGGTGGCCATGAGCCACATGTACTACTATTGAGCACTTGCAATGTAGCCAGTCCAAATTGAGATGTGGTGCCACTGTAAACTACATGCTATATTTTGAAGACTTAGTTGAAAAAATGAAAAATATTTCATTTATAATTTTGATGTTGGTTACTTGTTGAAATGAGAATATTTTGGACATACTGGATTAAATATAATATTAAAATTAATTTCACTTTTTTAAAAAATTGTGGCTATGGAAGACTTAAAGTTACACATGAAGCTCACATTTGTGGCTCACATTATGTTTCTATTGGACAGCATTACCCTAGAACATAAGTCTCAAATATATTGGATCACATACTTCATCAGTTTAAAAAAAGTTTTAGAATGCATTCCCAAATATGCCAAATTTTTGTTTATAAAAATACTATATATACATTTGAGAAAGCATGCAAAAATAGAAAGCAAAAAGAATGAAGCTGGGGATGGTGGCGCATACCTGTAATCCCAGCTACTCAGGAGGGTGAAGAGGGAGGATAGCTTGAGCCCAGGAGCTGGAGGCTGCAGTGAGGAATGAATGGGCCACTGCACTCCAGACTGGGCAACAGAGTGAGAACCCAGCTAAAAAAAAAAGAGAATAGAAGTCCTAATATCTTCTTCCCACACCCCGTTGATCATCCTGTGTACCCCTGAGATGTGCACATGCCTCTTTGGAGCTGCTACTTTAGAACTGGCTCTTGATGAGGCAAAAGACCCACCTGTCACACTCCTTTGCCGAGGAGGGAAACTGGGTAATTGGAGAGAATCAAAATTAAAATAAAAATTGCAACAATACATAGATTACACAAGTACAACCAAAGTAAAATAGTACAAATTTAAAAAAAAAAAAAAGGCTGCCTGTAGGCTCCATCTGGCTACAGCTACAGAATTTTGTTTTGGGGATGGGCAAGTGGATGAGGGGCCAAGTAAGAAGTAATGGTTTCTAGCAGGGAAGCTTTTTTAAAGTAGAACATGACATAAAATTGGTTAGACGTCTCTTGTTTGAATGAAAGATTGTGGGAGAGGACTAGGGCAGGCCCCAGTTGCTCCTTGCCACCTTCTCTCACCACGCCCCCTACAGTAAAGAGGGGCGAGCTCTGGGTTTCCAAAGGTTCTTTAAGTGAAGCTATTTTCCTGATTTTCTCAGATGTGGAGGAGAGGTATGGGGGTGGAGAGAAGAAAGTGCTGGGAAAGCAGTAACTGCAACCTGAAAAGGCAGCTGTGTCTATGTTTTCAGGTTCTATGAGCAGAGAAATGCAAGTCCCACTCCATGTAGGGCCCCAAGAGGCAACAAGAACCTTCTGATGAGAGGTTTTAGGGGATGCTAAGATTTGAGGGCAGCAGTGAAAGACTCCTCCCCGCAAGTCTGGCCCAAGAACTGAAGAGATTACAGGCTTGGGCAAGGTGTGGGAACCTATGTGCACTGGGGACCAGAGGGTCTGCCCTGTATATTCAAGAATGCATGAGAACATCTGGGACTCTTGCATGGCCTTAGGGAGAGAGAGAACCCCCAAATCATGACCGATTAATTTCCTGGCAGCAGAATTATTTGAATTAGAGACACATAAAAGTGTGATTTTTAAAATTTAAAATATCTTCTTTTTCTTTTTTGAGACAGAGTCTCACTCTTGTTGCTCAGGCTGGAGTGCAGTGGTGTAGTCTCAGCTCACTGCAACCTCCGCTTCCCTGGTTCAAGCCATTCTCCTGCCTCATCCTGCTGAGCAGCTGGGATTACAGGGGACCACCACCATTCCCGCCCAGCTAATTTTTATTATTTTTTAGTATTTAGTATTTTTAGTAGAGATGGGGTTTCGGCATGTTGGCCAGGCTGGTCTTGAACTCCTGACCTCAGGTGATCCACCCACCTGGGCCTCCCAAAGTTCTGAGATTACAGGCATGAGCCACCGTGCCCAGCCCTGCTATTTCTGAAGTTTCTGTGTTTTACAATTTAAGGACACTTATGGGAGACAAAAATTCAACACTTTTTACATGTATACACACACACACACACACATATACTTTACCTCTCCTCTCTGCCCTCAGCATAGTTATACACCATTTTTGGTTAATGATAAGGTATTTACATTGCTATGATTATGTCAATGCTTTCCATAGCAGAACCAGGTAATGTATTATGATTTTTCCTTTTTCCTTCTTGAGTAACTTTTCGGTTTTTCTTTTTTTTCTTTTCTTTTTTTTTTTTTGGGATGAAGTCTTGCTCTGTAGCCCAGGCTGGAGTGCAGTGGCGTGATCTCAGCTCAGCGCAACCTCCGGCTCCCGGGTTCAAGTGATTCTCCTGCCTCAGCCTTCAGGGTAGCTGGGATTACAGGCGTGCACCACCGCACCCAGCACATTTTTTATATTTTTAATAGAGACGGGGTTTCTCCATGTTAGCCAGGCTGGTCTTGAATTCCCGACCTCAGGCAATTCGCCCACCTCGACTTCCTAACGTGCTAGAATTACAGACATGAGCCACCATGCCTGGCCAACTTTTTGGGTTTTCCTACAGTTAATAAGTACCTTAAAACAAAAATTTTGCTTGGTTTTCTATTTACCTATTTACCAATTCACCATCAAAACGTCTCACTAAATGATAAATCTCTCTCAACATGTTCAAACATTAGGAAATGTGTCATTTTCTGTCACTTCTCATCCTCCTGCGTTAATCTGGACCAGTACATGGTTGTGATTCTGCGGCTTCCCTTCACCATCAGTCTCTGTTTGTCCTCTTTGCTTGCATTTTTCATCCTTGTGGGTTTATGCTTATTTTAGACATTTACTTCCTTTTTTATGAGGGTTCAGAAATGTACAGATATTATTTTTTTGGGGAGGGCTTATCAGGTACTGGAAACATGACATACCCTAGCCTGAGATGATTCCAACTATCTGTATACAGTCAGACTTCACAGTGGAAAGAAATGTCCTTGTAAACTCTAGTAATGCTAATTCTGGTCTACAGATACCAGATTTAAGAAACTCATGACCACTCCTTTTTTAAGTTCTGGAAAGTAGCTCTTAGCTATATGGGAAAGTGAACACTTATGTGGTTGTGGGTCATTCATCTCTAACAACCAAAGGACTCTGTGGCAAAAGTGAGAAATCTGAGTCAAAAACAAACTTTAATGGATTAAGACACATAAAATATGCTCATAAGGACACAGAAAACCAAAACCCAAAAACTCACTTGTCATATTGAGAGGTGACAACGTGCTAGCAGCCCTGGCTCGCTCTTGGTGTCTCCTCGGCCTTGGTGTCTGCTCTGGCCACGCCTGAGGAGCCCTTCAGCCTGCCTCTGCACTGTGGGAGCCCCTCTCTGGGCTGGCCGAGGCCAGAGCTGGCTCCCTCTGCTTGCTGGGAGGTGTGGAGAGAGAGGCGCCCACGGGAACTGGGGCTGCACGTGGCGCTCGCGGGCCAGTGAATTCTGGCTGGGCACAGGCTCAGTGGGCCCTGCACTCAGAGCGGTCCCGGGCAGTGAGTGGCTTAGAACCCAGGCCAGCAGCTGTGGAGGGTGCGCTGGATCCTCCAGCACTGCTGGCCCGCCGGCACCACACTTGAGTTCTTGCCGGGTCTCAGCTGCCTCCCCGTGGGACAGGGCTCGGGACCTACAGCCTGCCATGCCCGAGCCCCCCCACCTCCCGCTCCTGCTCCTGTGCAGCCTGAGTGTCCATGGCGGGCACTGCCCCCTGCTCCATGGCGCTAGATCCCATCAACTGCCCAAGGGCTGAGGGGTGCGGGCGCCCAGCGTGGGACTGGTGAGCAGCTCCGCCAACAGCCCTGGCCCGTAGGATCCACTAGGTGAAGCCAGCTGGGCTCCTCAGTCTAGTGGGGACTTGGAGAACTTTTATGTCTAGCTGTAGGATTGCATATGCACCAGTCAGCACTCTGTGTCTAGCTTGGGTTTCATGGATGCACCAATCAGCACTCTGTATCTAGCTAATCTGATGAGGACTTGGAGAACTTTTATGTCTAGCTGGAGGATTTTAAATGCACCAATCAGCACTTTGTGTTTAGCTCAAGGTTTGTAAATACACCAATCAGCACTCTGTGTCTAGCTCAACGTTTGTAAACGCACAAATCAGCACCCTGTGTCTAGCTCAAGGTTTGTAAACGCACCAATCAGTGCTCTGTGTCTAAATCTAGTGGGGACTTGGAGAACTTTTATGTCTAGCTAGAGGATTGTAAATGCACCAATCAGCACTCTGTGTCTAGCTCAGGGATTGTAAATGCACCAATCAGCACCCTGTCAAAATGGACCAAACAGCTCTCTGTAAAACGGACCAATCATCTCTCTGTAAAATGGACCAATCAGCAGGATGTGGGTGGGGTCAGATAAGGGAATAAAAGCAGGCTGCCCAAGCTAGCAGCAGCAACCAGCTGGCGTCCCCCTTCTGCAATGTCGAAGCTTTGTTCTTTTGCTCCTTGCAGTAACTCTTGCTGCTGCTCACTGTTTGGGTCTGCGCTACCTTTATGAGCTGTAACACTCATCTTGAAGGTCTGCAGGTTCACTCCTGAAGCCAACGAGACTATGAACCCACCGGGAGGGAGGAACAACTCCGGATGGAAGGAAAGAACAACTCCAGACACACTGCCTTTGAGAGCTGCAATGCTCACCATAAAGGTCTGCAGCTTCACTCCTGAAGCCACCGAGACCACGAATCCACCAGAAGGAAGAAACTGTGGACACGTCCAAACATCAGAAGTAACAAACTCCGGACACACCATCTTTAAGAGCTGTAACACTCACCGCAAGGGTCTGCAGCTTCATTCTTGAAGTCAGGGAGACCAAGAACCCACCAATTCTGGACACAATGTTTGGAGGATGTTCACTATCCTGAAAACAGGTAAGCAAAAACAAATAAAACCTCCTTCCTTTCCTGAAAAAAGCTGTGTTTCAAGGTAACCAATAGATGATAAGCAAAAGTTCTTCCTTTTAAAAAATTTCTAGCTAGGAAATGAAGATGAAATAAATGATACTGCAATCCCTAATGAAATAATGGATCCAAGCAATGATCATTAATGGCTGCTAAAACCACTTGCTGAAAACTGATTGGGGAACATTATAATAGATGGATCAGGCTGACAACATCTGAACACACTGATCAATCTTAATATTACAAGAGGGATAAGTAGCTATTATGTGTATCATGTCATGTAAGAGTATACAAAACTGACAATAAAATCTTTTTGCTGGAAAAAAAACCACATGTAATCTGATTAAGTCCCTAGATTTTACTACCATTCTCCATAAATTTTTTCTTAGCAGCTAAAGGGAAAAGAGAGGGAGCCTAAACGTGATAAATTGACATTATAGGGACTCAAAAGGATAATCAAAGTTCAGAATACAACAAATTCTATAAGACAAATGATACAGTTTTTTTTTTGTTTGAGACGGAGTTTTGGTCTGTTGCCCAGGCTGGAGCACAGTGGCACTATTTCGGCTCACTGTAACCTCCATATCCTAGGTTCAAGCGATTCTCCTGCCTCAGCCTCCTGAGTAGCTGGAGCTACAGGTGTGCACCACCACAACCGGCCAATTTTTGTATTTTTAGTAGAGAGCGGGTTTCACAATGTTAGCCAGGCTGGTCTTGAATTCCTGGCCTTAAGTGATCTGCCCACCTCAGCCTCCCAAAGTACTGGGATTACAGGCATGAGCCACAGCACCCTGCGAAATGATAGTTTCTTCCACAAAGTGCAAGAAAAAAGGAGTGCCTGTAGATTAAGGGACGTAAACATACTCAAGCACAGTATGTGAACCTTGATTCAAGCACAGAAACTGTAGAAACAAGCAAATATTTATGAGACAGCCAGGAAATGTGAACACTGGCTAGATATTTGATGATATTATGATATTAAGGAATTATTGTTAATTGTTTAACAATTAAAAGTTATTGTTGGCCAGGCGCAGTGGCTCATGCCTATAATCCCAGCACTTTAGGAGGCCAAGCGGGGGCGGATCATGAGGTCAAGAGATCAAGACCATCCTGGCCAACATGGTGAAACTCTGTCTCTACTAAAAATACAAAAATTAGCTGGGTGTGGTGGCACGTGCCTAAAATCCCAGCTACTTGGGAGGCTGAGGCAGGAGATCGCTTGAACCTGGGAGACAGAGGTTGCAGTGAGCCAAGATCGCGCCACTGCACTCTAGCCTGCCAACAGAGCAAAACTGTCTCAAACAAAACCAAACAAACAAACAAATATATACATATATAGTTAATTGTTTAAGGTACGATACTGGTATTGTGATTGTGGGTTTTATTTTTTATTGTGTTTTAAAGACTTCTTGCTGTTTGGCAATACATACCAAAGTAAAGAGAGGCTTATGTGGCTGGCCTTCCTTGTCCCACAAACTGTTATCCCACAGGGTTGGGTCTCTTTACAACAGTCAGAAAACTGGCATAGACACCGAGGAACCCAGGCCCCCTCTGACTCATCACAAAATTTGCCTATGTGAGTCACCGGCGTCAGCAGAGCCAAGGTAGATCCAGGGTAGCTGGTCACTGGGAATAGTAGTACTTGCTGAGTGTGAAAATGTTTCCCTGGTCCAGTGATAGGACGTGCTGGGGCCATGGTAAACTGAAGAGTATGCTCTAGCTGAAGGCCTTCAAATTCAATGAAAGAAGAAGGTGGGCCGGGCACAGTGGCTCACCCCTGTAACCCCAGCACTTTGGGAGGCCAAGGCTGGTGGATCACGAGGTCAGGAGTTCAAGACCAGCCTGGCCAAGATGGTGAAACCCTGCCTCTACTAAAAATACAAAAATTAACTAGGCATGGTGCCAGGCACCTGTAATCCCAGTTACTCAGGAGGCTAAGGCAGAGAATTGCTTGAACCTGGGAGGCAGAGGTTGCAGTGAGCCGATATCACACCACTGCACTCCAGCCTGGGCGACAGAGAAAGACTCTGTCTCAAAAAAAAAAAAAAAAGAAGGTGGGGAGAGAAAGAGAGAAACACTGAAGACCAAAGAAGTTACATTCTCTGGCCAAATTCATGATCCCTAAAGTAGACCTAAACCTATACTTTGGCCATACTCATCTCCTTAACAGTCAATACAAAACTCTAGCACTTCATCAGAGTGAATTAAAAATATTATGCTTCTCACTGACAAAGCAAGAATGAATGGGTAGGAAGTGCTCTATCAGGAAAAAGGCAATCCCTTGAGGAGCCTGACTGTGTTGATTTAATGATAAGATTTTGTACACGTAAGTGTGTCAGCCAGCACAGGAAACCCGTGCAGGTGGAGGGTTAGAAGTCCCCATTCAGGACTGATAGCCCGCAGCCACAGTGAAAGGGTCCAAAGGGCAGGCACCCTTTTGCACACAGACAAAGGGCATATTTAGACTGCCCAGTCATGGGAGACTTCCCTGCGCACTGAAAGAGAGTAAAGGCAGGGAGTAAGGGCCTTAGAAAGAGGCAAAAACCTACTTCTGCTTTTCTGTCTGTAATTGGTTGATTTTTTATTCAATTTAAAAATATGGCCGGGCCTGGTGGCTCACACCCATAATCCCAACACTTTGGGAGGCCAAGGCAGATGGATCACCTAAGGTCAGGAGTTCAAGACCAGCCTGGCCAACATGGTGAAACCCCGTCTCTACTAAAAATACAGAAATCAGCCAGGTGTGGTGGTGGGTGCCTGTAATCCCAGCTACTCAGGAGGCTGAGACAGGAGAATCGCTTGAACCCAGGAAACGGAGGTTACAGTGAGCCAAGACTGTGCCATTGTACTGCAGCCCAGGCGACAGAGCAAGACTCCGTCTCAAAAAAAAAAAAAGCCGAGTTTTTAAAAAATTATTTATTTATTTATTATACTTTAAGTCCTAGGGTACATGTGCACAACGTGCAGGTTTGTTACGTAAGTATACATGTGCCATGTTGGTTTGCTGCACCCATTAACTCTTCATTTACATTAGGTATTTCTCCTAATGCTATCCCTCCCCCAGCCCCCCAGCCCACAACAGGCCCCGGGGTGTGATGTTCCCCACCCTATGTCCCAGTGTTCTCATTGTTCAATTCCCACCTATGAGTGAGAACATGTGGTGTTTGGTTTTCTGTCTTTGTGATAGTTTGCTGAGAATGATGGTTTCCAGCGTCATCCATGTCCCTGCAAAGGACATGAACTCATCCTTTTATTATGGGTGCATAGTATTCCATGGTGTATATGTGCCACATTTTCTTAATCCAGTCTATCGTTGATGGACAGTTGGGTTGGTTCCAAGTCTTTGCTATTGTGAATAGTGCCACAATAAACATACGTGTGCATGTGTCTTTATAGTAGCATGATTTATCATCCTTTGGGTATATACCCAGTAATGGGATGGCAAGGTTAAATGGTATGTCTGGTTCTAGATCCTTGAAGAATCGCCACACTGTTTTCCACAATGGTTGAACTAGTTTACACTCTCACCAATAGTATAAAAGCATTCGTATTTCTCCACATCCTCTCCAGCATCTGTTGTTTCCTTTTTAATGATCGCCTGACTTTTTAATGATCTGTTGTTTCCTGACTTTTTAATGATCGCCATTTTAACTGGCGTGAGATGGTATCTCATTGTGGTTTTGATTTGCATTTCTCTGATGACCAGATATGATGAGCATTTTTCATGTGTCTGTTGGCTGCATAAATGTCTTCTTTTGAGAAGTGTCTGTTCATATCCTTTGCCCACTTTTTGATGGTTTTTTTTTTCTTGTAAATTTGTTTAGGTTCTTTTTAGATTCTGGATATTAGCCTTTTGTCAGATGGGTAGATTGCAAAAATTTTCTCCCATTCTGTAGGTTGCCTGTTCACTCTGATGGTAGTTTCTTTTGCTGTGCAGAAGCTCTTTAGTTTAATTAGATCCCATTTGTCAATTGTGGCTCTTGTTGCCATTGCTTTTGGTGTTTTAGTCATGAAGTCCTTGCCCATGCCTATGTCCTGAATGGTATTGCCTAGGTTTTCTTCTAGGGTTTTTAGGGTTTTAGGTCTAACATTTAAGTCTTTAATCCATCTCGAATTAATTTTTGTATAAGGTGTAAGGAAGGGATCCAGCTTCAGCTTTCTACATATGGCTAGCCAGTTTTCCCAGCACCATTTATTAAGTAGGTAATCCTTTCCCCATTTCTTGTTTTTGTCAGGTTTGTCAAATAATTCTTTTAAATTCTTTTAAAGCATTCTTTTAAATGCTAAAAATTATCAGAAGGTGAGAGGAAACTGTTACAAAAAAAAGAATTTAGGCTGTGTTTCAATATTTTGCTCATCAGGTAAGATTATTATTTATTGGTGGGTTAGCAGAAAAACTCAATGTATCAACTTCTGCACTGTCAAGAACGAATACTTATTGAGACTACTATGTAAAGGAACCACAGCAAACCTTGAGGACACAGATATGAAGAAGATGCAGTTTCTGCCCTGCCAGATTGTACATGGTAGATGAAGGTTTTACCTGAGGTCAGGAGTTCGAGACCAGCCTGGCCAACACGGTGAAACCCTGTATCTACTAAAAATACAAAAATTAGCTGGTCATGGTGGTGGGCGCCTGTAATCCCAGCTACTCAGGAGGCTGAGGCAGTAGAATCACTTGAACCTGGAAGGCGGAGGTTGCCGTGAGCTGAGATCACGCCATTGCACTCCAGCCTGGGCAACAAGAGTGAAACCCTGTCTCAAGAGAAAAAATAAATTATCTAAAAATAAATAAATTACATTATAAGACATAATGTGGTAAATGCACATGAGATTAAGAAAGGTTGAGATGGCTGGGCATGGTGATTCATGACTGTAGTCCCAGCACTTTGGGAGGCTGAGGTAGGGGGATCACTTGAGCCCAGGATTTTGAGACCACCCTGGGCAACATAGTGAGACTCATCTCTACACAAAATTATAAAAACTAGCTGGGTGTGGTGGCACACACCTGTAGTCACAGCTTCTCTGGAGGCTGAAGTTCAAGGATCACTTGAGTTAGGGAAGTGAAGGCTGGAGTGAGCTGTGATTGCACCACTGCACTCCAGCCTGAGTGACAGAGTGAGAATCTATCTCAATAAAAGAAAGAAAAGAAAGATTCTGGCCAGGTGCAGTGGCTCACGCCTGTAATCTCAGCACTTTGGGAGGCTGAGGCGGGAGGATCACCTGAGGTCAGGAGTTCAAGAGCATCCTGGCCAACATGAGAAAACCCTGTCTCTGCTAAAAATGCAAAAATTAGCCGCGCATGGTGGCACATGCCTGAAGGCCCAGCTACTTGGGAGGCTGAGGCAGGAGAATTGCTTGAACCCAGGAGGCGGAGGTTTCAGTGGGCTGAGGTCGTGTCACTGTACGTCACCGTGGGTGACAGAGCGAGATTCCATCTCAAAAAAAAAAAAAAAAGGAATAAAGGAATGGCTATTCCATAGAGCAGCCCTGAGGGCTGCTGGTTGCCCATTTTTATGGTTATTTCTTGACCATACGCTAAACAAGGGGTGGATTATTCATGCCTCCCCTTTTTATACCATATAGGGTAACTTCCTGACATTGCCATGGCATCTGTAAATTGTCATGGTGCTGGTGGGACTGTAGCAGTGAGGATGACCAGAGGTCACTCTCGTCACCATTTTGGTTTTGGTGGGTTTTGGTCACCTCTTTTACTGCAACCTGTTTTGTTTGTTTGTTTGTTTTCCTGAGGCAGAGTCTTACTGTGCTGCCCAGGCTGGAGTTCAGTGGCGCAATCTCAGCTCACTGCAACCTCTGCCTCCCGGGTTCAAGCGATTCTCCTGCCTCAGCCTCCTGAGTAGTTGGGATTACAGGTGCCTGCTACCACCACACCTGATTAATTTTTATATTTTTAGTAGACATGGGGTTTCGCCATGTTGGCCTTGCTGGTCTTGAACTACTGACCTCAGGTGATCCACCTGCCTCGGCCTCCCACAGTGCTGAGGTTACAGGTGTGAGCCACTGTGCCCGGCCACTGCAACCTGTTTTATCAGCAAGGTCTTTATGACCTGTATTTTGTGCTGACCTGCTATCTTACCCTGTGACTCAGAATGCCTTAATTGCCTGGGAATGCAGCCCAGTAAGTTTCAGCCCTATTCTACCCAGCTCCTATTTAAGATGGAGTTGCACCAGGTCCGGTGGCTCATGCCTGTAATCCCAGCACTTTGGGAGGCTGAGGTGGGCAGGTCACAAGGTCAGGAGATCGAGAGCATCCTGGCTACCACAGTGAAACCCTGTCTCTACTAAAAATACAAAAAATTAGCTGGGTGTGGTGGCACGCACCTGTAGTCCTAGCTGCTGGGGAGGCTGAGGCAGGAGAATTGCTTGAACCCAGAAGGTGGAGGTTGCAGTGAGCCAAGATTGCACCACTGCACTCCAGCCCGGGCAACAGAGCAAGACTCCATCTCCAAAAAAAAAAAAAAAAGATGGAGTTGCTGTGATTCACGAACCTCAGACATTTCCCCCCTCCCTTTTATAAGAGAAGCCTTAATCCTAAGGGCTGCAGAGGGAAGAAGATCCATCTTCTGTAACTTCTTCAGGCTGAATAGGGGGATGATATTCCTGCATAACTATGAGGGTCTCTTGCATTCTGGGTAGAGAGGAGCTTAGTCAGAAAGCTTCAGTATGGTAAGATACACTCATAACTCTTGAGTTTCGACAAGAAGTGATATCTGCAAGATTAATAAGTCTTTAAGAAAAGATTCAGTAAACTTGTCCTGTGTTCCTACACAAAGTACAACGGCAATATATTCCCCAAGAGTAAAGCAAAATAGGCCAAGCATGGTGGCTAATGCCTATAATCCCAGCACTTTGGGAGGCTGACACGGGCAAGTCACTTGAGGTCAGGAGTTCAAGACTAGCCTGATCAACATGGCGAAACCCCGCCTCTACTAAAAATACAAAATTAGCTAGGCATGGTGGGCATGCCTGTAATCACAGCTACTTGGGAAGCTGAGGCAGGAGAATTGGTTGAACCTAAGAGGTGGAGGTTGCAGTGAGCCGAGATCATGCCATTGCACTCCAGTCTGGGCGACAAGAGCAAAACTCTGTCTCAAAAAAAAAAAAAAAAAAAAAAGAGTAAAGCAAATAAGTAAACTATTCCAAGTTAAATTAGAAGGCCTTTCATGAACTGGGCAACTGTTGGAACTAAGTCAATATGGGGTTTTTAGCTGATTGTAATGTGCCCAGACTTAGAATACTGATCCAAATGTTTATATTACCCATCCCTCTTGTTTCTTCTGAGCAACAGTCAGCGATTACTGTTTGGTTCACAGGAATAAGCAGGGTTGCCAGGAATAGTGGCTCACGCCTGTAATCCCAGCACTTTGGGAGGCCAAGTCAGGTGGATCACGAGATCAGGAGTTCGAGACCAGCCTGGCCAATATGGTGAAACCCCATCTCTACTAAAAATATAAAAAAGTAGCTGAGTGTTGTGGTGCCTGCCTGTTGTCCCAGTTACTTGGGAGGCTGAGGCAGGGGAATCACTTGAACCTGGGAGGCAGAGGTTACAGTGAGCTGAGATTGTGCCACCGCACTCTAGCCTGGGCAGCAGAGCGAGACTCTGTCTCAAAAAAAAAAAAAAAAAAGGAATAAGCAAGGTTAGCCTACATTAAAAAAGCAAAATTTAAAAACAACTAATGAGACTAGACTCTAATAACAAGTATACCATAGTTTTTGAAATATATTTCTCTCTCCAGTTTCCCATTTTTACTATAGACAAATCATGGTAACAGTGATTTGCTATATTATACTTGGCCTGATTATTTGTATAAAGTGCAGCAAGAATAATTATTTTTCACATAAGATCTTTTTGTTTTTATTTATTTTTTATTTTATATTTATATTTTTTGAGATGGAGTCTCACCTTGTTGCCCAGGTTGGAGTGCAATGGCACGATCTTGGTTCACTACAACCTCCGCCTCCTGGGTTCAAGTGATTCTCCTCCCTCAGGCTCCTGAGTAGCTGGGATTACAGACGCCCACCACCATGCCCAGCTAATTTTTGTATTTTTAGTTGAGATGGGGTTTTACCATGTTGGCCAGGCTGGTCTCAACCTTCTGACCTCAGGTGATCTGCCCACCTTAGCCTCCCAAAGTGCTGGGATTACAGGCATGAGCCACTGTGCCCAGCAGAAGCTCTTTTTAAATTGGCTTTGATGTAATTCTGTTCCATAGAAAGAATTTTAGATAAGACTTTTTTAAAGCTGAGCCCAACTATGGGTTTGTAACCTCAAATACATATGAGTTGGGTAAATTTCTTTCCTCTTGAGGTCCAAAATAACTTGGGGCTCCTGGACCTGTCAGAAAGTGACATTCTTTACTCACCACAGGTCAGAAACCCTGCACAGGGACTGTTGTAGGCAAGGTATGAGGCCACTTCCCCACAGGGCTTTCATTGGCTCTATAAGTCAAGTTTAATTCCCTAAAGAAAAACACACCATTCCAGTCAAAGCCTTGGCAAAATAACCAATTTCTCCAGTTGCGTCCTGTTACAAAAGAAAACAGATTCTTATTGCACCTATGCAAATAACTATATTGCTATAAGTTAAGAATACTCAACAACTACTTTCCAAATTTGGGAGAAATCAGGTAGAGAGAAACAAATATGCTCCAAATTTGTTCATAGGAATATACTCAACTGTTAAAAGCTATAAATAGCTCGAAAGAAAAGTTTTCTTGACTCTGAAAAACAAAACAAAGGATCAGCAGCGTTTTAAGCAAAGTTAAAAAGATTAGACTTCTTCAGTTTAGCCCATGTAGTTAACTTCTATTTGATAGTTACTAACATTTTAGTTCTCTATGAGAGTTCTGAAAGCTTTTTCCTCTATTTTGATGTCACAGTCTCCAAAGTTACAGAAAAACCTGCATTTAAGAACACCTGTTAGAGTTCTATAATTGATTATAAACCACCTTCTAAAGAGGATTAAAACAAGACAACACTTGTCTGTGGAAGATAAAAAGTTTTAGGATAGCCGCTATTAAAGCCACAATTGACAAGGAAATTTGGTTACTTCTGTGGCACACAAAATTTTACATAACAATTATAATTTCTGATAACATACACTAAGTCATATTAGAATTACAGGAGTTTCCATAACTTTGGAACTTATACCAATAACACATTTATGCAAATATAGTCCAAAGAAAGCAAAATACCATTCCACATTTGATAATGCTTCCTGTATGATTCTTATACCAAATAAGCCAAATTTCACCTTCACATTAATGTACTATTAATGTTAAACCCAATTTTTAATAAAACCTTATAGACATATTTACCCAATTTTAATGTTTAGCCGTAAGGTAAGATTCTTATAAACCTTTTATAACCCCTTCTTTTTTTTTTTTTTTTTTTGTGAAAGAGCAGATTAGTGCTCTAAGAAAAACCTGTTGTGCTTTTATTCCAATATTTAATTTATGGAAAAACTGAATAATACCCCTTTAACTTTAGTCAACATGTTCACATACAGAATTTCTTAAAATTAATTTTTATAAACCTTCCATAACTTGTTTAAACCTTTAGCTTTACTCTAAGTTAAAACAATTCTTTAACCCTTTAGGCAATAAAACCATATTCCCATGCCTTGTTATAATCTTTTACCAAAAGTACATTCTACTTTCCTTAGACATCTTACATGTAAAATTGTTTATTCAATAGTCTCAATTACATGTCACAATGTTAACTTTTAGCCACTTCTACTTTTGGTGAAAACCCTGGTTAGTAAGCCATTTTAATTGTGTACTAGGTGTGAAGCTTAGCCTAGGACATACCACACAGAAGTGCAGATAAGGGCTGACTCTCCAGCATAGCTAGGGGGCAAGGCTAACTCCACACAGCCCCAGGCCTTACCTTACTTAAGCAGGCAAGTTGTACAGTAAGAGTCATAGTGGCATTTTATGAAGCATTTAGGAGACCTAACAACCTTTGAATTGTACATTTCTTGCATAAATTCCCTTTCACGACTTACACAGACCATCTGAGACATTCTTGGACTTTGTGACTTGCCCTAAACTTCCCTCCTTTTAAACAACCCATCAATTTACTTTAGAACAAGAATTTATCACACAAGATCTTTTCTTACATAAAATCTCTTTCTTTATAATCTTCTTTGTATAGCTAGGGGGCATGGCTAATTCCACATGTCTGCAGGCCTTATCTAGAATCTAATGGCTTTAAGATATCCATTGAACAATTTTTAAAAGTTAAAGAAGCAGTTTATGACCTTAAAGCATTTAGCAAACTTAATATTTGACCTGTATAATTTAGACTAAATGTTTTATCAATAATTTTTAAAGCTGTTTTTATTTCCCAAAGATTACTGAAGTCACATGAACTAAAAGGCATTACAGTTTGTGTTTTGCTTTCAAAATATATATATATATTTTTTGAGCCAGAGTCTCACTCTGTCACCCAGGCTAGAGTGCAGTGTGCAATCTGGGGTCACTGCAACCTCTGCCTCCCAAGTTCAAGTGATTCTCCTCCCTCAGCCTCCCGGGTAGCTGGGACTACAAGCAGGCACCACCATGCCTGGCTAATGTTTGTATTTTTGGTAGAGATGGGGTTTCACCATGTTGGCCAGGCTGGTCTTGAACTCCTGATCTCAGGTGATCCACCCACTTCAGCCTCCCAAAGTGCTGGGATTATAGGCATGAGACACCGCACCTGGCCATGCTTTCAAAATATTTGATTTAAGTGATTATTTTTGTTTAAGCCAATTAATTAGAGCTTTTTTGTATAAACATTATACACAACACATATACAGGTACACAGAAAGACAGAAGAAGATTACTACAGTAGGTGTAAGATTTTTCATTTGCCAGTTTTTAAGTTTCTTTTTTTTTTTTTGAGACAGAGTGTTGCTCTGTCACCTGGGCTGGAGTGCAGTGGCACAATCTAGGCTCACTGCCTACGTTCACACCATTCTCCTGCCTCAGCCTCCTGAGTAGCTGGGACTACAGGCGCCCACTACCATGTCTGGCTAATTTTTTTTTTTTTTTTTTGAGATGAAGTCTTGCTCTTGTTCCCGAGGCTGGAATGCAGTGGCACTGTCTCGGCTCACTGCAACATCCCCCTCCCGGGTTCAGTTGATTCTCCTGCCTCATCCTCCCAAGTAGCTGGGATTACAGGTGCATACCACCACATCCAGATAATTTTTTGTGTTTTAAGTACAGACGGGGTTTCACCATGTTGGCCAAGCTGGTCTGGGATTCCTGACCTCAGGTGATCTGCCCACCTCGGCCTCTCAAAGTGTTGGAATTACAGGCGTGAGCCACCGCGCCCAGCCAATTTTTTGTATTTTTTAGTAGATTCGGGGTTTCACTGTGTTAGTCAGGATGGTCTCGATCTCCTGACCTCATGATCCACCTGCTTCAGCCTCCCAGACTGCTAGGATTACAAGTGTGAGCCACTATGCCCGGCCTGGTTTTTAAGTTTCTTAATTGCATTAATGGCTTTATGGTGGAGCCCTTGGAAGAACATGGCCAGGAAAGGGGTCTCCTGTGCCTCCTGTTTTTCCCAAGGAGTCCAGGCTGTTAGAGCTTGAATATCCACTTTTAATTATACTGATTTTAACCATAGCACTCTTTATTAAAGTTCCTTTAGAATTTCTTATGCCAAATGGCAGATATTTCTGGCTTTTTAAACTTACCAAAGGTAATCTCCCAGGTACATAGAGAAAGGAAAATGTAAGACAGTCTGTGGAGGAGAAGAGAATAGACAAGTTTACGCAGATATTAAACCAGAAACGACTTACTTCCTAGGTGGGGAATCAAACCTGGACCACCACTGTGAAAGTGTAAAATCTCAGCTTCTGAGCTACAGCATGGGCAGTCCCCACTTCTTTTCCTGGAACGAGCCTAGAGTAGTTAATTTTGAGCTTCCAAAGGCTTTTTAACAATTTAATATGATTTTTAGAGATGAATATGATATAAATCCTAAAATTCCTGTTCCCTGATGGCAGAGACCAAAATAAAGTACTGCCACATGGTTAAAAGGTCAGGCTCCCAAGAACATAAAAAAACGTGGAGACTTCATCCAGTTTTTTTGTTTCAGGGAGCTGCAGCCAAGCTTGTTACTGACCAGCTTGCTGGGTGGTCTTGAAAAGTGGGCTTACAGGTGTTCCAAGTCCGTGTTTTATCCTAAAGTACCCTTCAACACAGAAAAACAAATTCATAGCACAAAATACACCAGCTTAAGATTAGCCTTAGAATTCTTTTCACATTAATCAAAACTTTACAGAGGAAATAAGCACTGGTTTTTGTTTGTTTGTTTGTTTGTTTTGTTTTGTTTTAACCATTCATCAAACCATCTGTACAGAGAGATAAGCCAGAAATCTGACTGGTAGGAAAATTCTTACCCTTTTGCCAGCACACCAGGCTTCTGGGTTCCCTTTCCCTGAGCAGCACTACTGATCAGGCTTGTGGCACCATCGCCCTGGGGGCCAAGCCGCATCATAAAGGGAAATTACATTTTTTTTCATTTTGGCCAGAGCAAAATATGTGTGATAAAACATAGACATTAGCCACTCTGCTTAGCAACCAATATCAAACTGACAAGGCTTAAATTTGCCCCCAGATGAACCTCGTCATTTTTTGTTTGTTTTTTGTGTTTTGTGACAGAGTCTCACTCTGTTGCCCAGGCTGTAGTGCAGTGGCACGTTCTCGGCTTACTGCAACTTCTGCCTCCCGGGTTCAAGCTATTCTCCTGCCTCAGACTCCCAAGTAGCTGGGATTATAGGCGCCCGCCACCACACCCAGATAATTTTTGTATTTTTAGTAGAGATGGGGTTTTACTATGTTGGCCAGGCTGGTCTCGAACTCCTGACCTCGTGATCCCAAGCCTCAGGCTCCCAAAGTTCTGGGATTACAAGTGTGAGCCACCATGCCCAGCCAGGCCCGTCACCTTTGATCCAACCTCTGATTTGGAGTTTCAACACGTGGTCTCTGGGCAAGATGGTTGCCCTGAGTAACAGAAAAGAGAAAGGAAAATTAGAGAAGGAAAGTATTATCTGCGGCAGGGTGGGGAAGGTGAAGAGCTTAGGGAGCCAGAGAAAAGACCCACTCATTGCAGCCGACAATGAAAAGTTCAGGCGGCCGCTTGTCAGTAGCAAAGGGATCTTTTCCAGCAGTGCCATCAGCTCTCAAGTTTCCCCTTCTGGGGAGGAAAAAGCTCCCCATGTTCCATGATCCTGTACATGCCTAACACTGTCACCCACAGCCATCAGCAAACAGTGCAAAGCAGATTAATCCAAAGAGAATAGCATCCCATAGTGCCGAACCTGTTCTTAGCCGAGAGGGCCTTTACTGAGAGGGGCCTCCAATACCCTAAATCTTAGAAGGGACTCTAACTCTTCTAAGTTGGGCCTCTAACCCTAAGGTCGGAGAAGCGTTCTTGTCCTTTTTCTTCAGACAGAGTCTTGCTCTGTCACCCAGGCTGGAGTGCAATAGCACTATCTCGGCTCACTGCAACCTCTGCCTCCTGGGTTTACGCTATTCTCCTGCCTCAGCCTCCTGAGTAGCTGGGATTACAGGTGCACACCACCACACCCGGCTAACTTTTTTTATTTTT
Source organism: Homo sapiens (assembly GCF_000001405.40). Taxonomy (NCBI): domain Eukaryota; kingdom Metazoa; phylum Chordata; class Mammalia; order Primates; family Hominidae; genus Homo; species Homo sapiens. Next base: position 170,342,573 of record NC_000003.12, read on the forward strand.
AGTGGAGATGAGGTTTCACTATCTTGGCCAGACTGGTCTCGAACTCCTGACCTTGTGATCTGCCTGCCTCAGCCTCCCAAAGTGCTGGGATTACAGGCGTGAGCCAACATGCCTGGCTGCATCCTTGCCTTTTATTAAGAGGGACCTCTAATGCACTTTGTTTTAGAAGAGACTCTAACTCTCCTAAGTTTTGGCCTCTAACCCGATCCCATTCTTTATCTGGGTACCCCATCACTTACCCAAAGTCGTCCAATCAGTGCTGCAGTCTATTTCCTTTGGGTCAGGGGGTCTCCTCAGTATTGTCCCTTTTGTGGTTCATGAGAAAGATGTTACCAGACCCCAACACTTACCCAAAAGTAGCCGCTGGGTCGGGGGTTTCTGCACTGTAGTCCCTTCTGTGGTCGCCAGAAATATGTTACAGGACAGGGGTCCTGATCCAGACCCCAAGAGAGGGTTCTTGGATCTCACGCAACAAAGAAATCAGGGCAAGTCCGCAGTCCAAAGCGAAAGCAAGTTTATTTATTTTTTATTTCATTTCATTGAGACGGAGTCTCACACTGTTGCCAGGCTGGAGTGCAATGGCGCCATCTCAGCTCACTGCAACCTCTGCCTCCTGGGTTCAATCTATTCTCCTGCCTCAGCCCCCTGAAGAGCTACGACTACAGGCATGCCACCACACCCGGCTAATTTTTGTATTTTTAGTAGAAATAGGGTTTCCCCATGTTGGCCAGGATGGTCTCAATCTCTTGACCTCGTGATCTGCCGCCTCGGTCTCCCAAAGTGCTGGGATTACAGATGTGAGCCGCAAGTTTATTAAGAAAGTAAAGAAATAAACTGGGTGCAGTGGCTCACACCTGTAGTCCCAGCACTTTAGAAGACCGAGGCGGGCGGATCATCTGAGGTTGGGAGTTCGAGACCAGCCTGACCAATATGGAGAAACCCCGTCTCTACTAAAAACACAAAATTAACTGGGGGTGGTGGCCGTGCCTGTAATCCCAGCTACTAGGGCGGGGGGGCGGGGTGTGAGGGCGGGGGGAGAGGGGGTTGAGGCAGGAGAATCGCTTGAACCCGGGAGTCGGAGGTTGCGGTGAGCCGAGATGGCACCATTGCACTCCAGCCTGAGCAACAAGAGCGAAACTCCATCTCAAAAAAAAAAAAAAAAAAAAAAAAACCAAGAAAGTAAAGGAATAAAAGAATGGCTACTCTATACACAGAGCAGCCCCCGAAGGCTGTTGGTTGCCCATTTTTATGGTTATTTCTCGATGATATGCTAAACAAGGAGTGGATTATTCGTGCCTCCCCTTTTTAGACCATATAGGGTAACTTCCTGTCATTGCCATGGCATTTGTAAACTGTCATGGCACTGGTGGAGTGTAGCAGTGAGGATGACCAGACATTGCTCTCGTGGCCATTTAGGTTTTGGAGGGTTTTTGGCTGGCTCCTTTACTGCAACCTGTTTTATCAGCAAGGTCTTTATGACCTGTATTTCCTGCTGACCTCGTATCTCATCCTGTGACTTAGAATGCCTTAACCGTCTGGGAATGCAGCCCAGTAGGTTTCAGCCTTATTTTACCCAGCTTCTATTTTACATGTAGTTGCCTGTAACTGGTTCACACGCCTCTAACGATACCACTTGTAAGTCAAAGTTATGAAGAAAAGAAGGTGTACTTGGCTACCTGGGAGCCTGAGGACTTTCTGGTTGCAGTTACGGTTTTCCTTATAATCCACCACCTCCATGTGACTTAAAGCTAATGGAATGGATATCTACTCATTAACCAAAATTATCTGATTAAATTATATGGACAGGATGGATGAAAATAATGACAAAGTTTTTTGGTTTTTTTTTTTTTCTCTCTCTCTCTTTTAGTTCTGAGATCCTCTTGGTACAAATACTTTGTACTAAGATGAAAGTCATCTTAGTGTTTATAAGGTGGACATGGCACTTCTATTTGTACGCAAAAGGAATCAACAAATGACATATTAACCAGAACTTTCAGTTTATCTTTCTCTTATCCTGGACTTCTCTCTTTCCCTCCCTCTCTCCTTCCCCTCTTTCTTCCCTGTCTCATAGCTGAAATGAGAGCAATGAGAAATTTAAGATGGGAAATAAAATCAAACTAAGGGTATAGTCAACACACAATCGCAGCTAGCGGTAGCCTACAAGTGTGATCCTGAGCTTCTAAGGAGCTGGGGAAAAAATGTGATTAATAAGAATCCTCTTAGGGCTGGGTGCGGTGGGTCACGCCTGTAATCCCAGCACTTTGGAAGGCCAAGGTGAGAGGATCACCTGAGGTCAGGAGTTTGAGACCAGCCTGACTAACATGGTGAAACCCTGTCTCTACTAAAAATACAAAAATTAGCCGGGCATGGTGGTGTGTGCCTGTAATCCCAGCTATTTGGGAGGCTGAGGCAGGAGAATCACTTGAACCCGGGACGCGGAGGTTGCAGTGAGCCAAGATTGTGCCAGTGCACTCCAGCCTGGGTAACAAGAGCAAAAAAAAAAAAAAAAAAAAGATTCCTCTTAGTTTTTGCAAGACAGAAGCAAAGCAGTTAAGGCCCAACAGAAACTTCTCTCATGGCTTCTCATAAAGAAAACACCGAGTCATCCTCAACCAACAAAAGATAGGTGGCTCCTTCTTAGAAAATCCCATATACAGATAGAGAACATAATGCCAAAAAATCCTCTTCAGAAAGGGAACTCTTCATGTTTTAAGTTTGAACATTTCTGATAGTCTGATTTGATCCAAGGGAAAAATCCAAGGAGGGAAAAATAACATGTCTAAAGAGTAAATGGCCTTGCAGTCCTCCACGCAGTCTTTGATGAATAGCATTCCTCACAATTGTGCTTTGATAAGAATTAAAGTGCAGAGAACTTATATCCTGAAGAACAGAAATTCAATACAGCTGATTAACAGCTGAAGCCTACTTCTGACATTTTGATATTTGAACAATAGATGGAGCAGAGATTATGATTGGTATCATTTTCTGAAGCAAGAAGCCAAACCTGGAGAGGCAACATAAGAAGATCTTCCAGTTTAGGTAGAGATCTCAGCTGAATATCTAAGCAGGTGTGATGCTGCTGGTGAGGTCACAGAGGCCTGCAGGAGACTGGACTCTTACTTCCTATTTATTATGGCCCACCATGATCTCTGCAATACGTATGTATTTAGTGAATGGCCTCAGAAGTCTGCATCAGTGTGGATGATTGTTTACAACTAAATAATTTTGCAACATTTATTAGCATGTTGTTCTCCACTTTCGTAAAATGCAGTATTTATTTTATTAATATGTATTTTAGAATGTGTAAAATATTTAAATATTGAATACTGAAGGCCTGGCCTTTGTCCATTCAGGAGAAGCTGACTAAAGCACATTTAAAAAATATTATAGACCGGGCGTGGTGGCTCACACCTGTAATCCCAGCACTTTGGGAGGCTGAGGCGGGCAGATCATCTGAGGTCTGGAGTTCAAGACCAGCCTGATCAACATGGAGAAACCCCATCTCTACTAAAAACACAAAATTAGTTGGGCGTAGTGGCGCATGCCTGTAATCCCAGCTACTCGGGAGGCTGAGGCAAGAGAATCGCTTGAACCCAGGAGGCGGAGGTTGCGGTGAGCCGAGATGGCGCCATTGCATCCAGCCTGGGCAACAAGAGTGAAATTCCTCAAAAATAAATAAATAAAAAATAATAATCATTAAATAAAGGTATTATATAGAGCTTTATTTGAGAAACTGGTTTATCTAAAAATTGACAAAGTGGTTGATGGAACTTCAGGGTAGTAATTTCACATTTACATTAACCTTTAATGAGACCATGTGGTTTCTTTAAAATCTATATTACCTGTGCAAAAGAAACCTATTCATTAGAAATCCAGTCTCTGATTTTGGCAACAGAGCCAATATTTATTTCCCACAGAGGCCAATTCTAGTAAGCTTTAAATCCAGGATAGTTAACTTCGTGAGAATAGTATCAACACTTATTTCCCCTGCTGTCAATTGAAAGAATATGTTGACCACCTACCGTAACTAATTTAACTGGGAAGTGGTTGAAACATTAATGAATAAAACAACAGTGTTGTTAACATTTTTTTCTGGAAAATAACTTTAATACATTAGGCATATTTGCAAATAATCATTTTACTGCCTGAGGTTTTAATATATAACTTAATATATAACTCATTTATAAGGGAAAATGCATAAATTCCACTTGGCTAACTAACTCCGTCTTTTCCTGTTAAATTATAAAAAGAGAAAGTCTAATTGGCCTAATTAATCAGTATTAACCCTCTGGGCTGGGCTTTTTGGGTCAGGCTAAGTCTAGGTTTTTGGTTAGACTATGGTTCTGGTCCCTGCTCCTGACTCATTCAGCAACCATCCTTTGCTCAGAGAATACCCTAAGGCCAGAGTAAGTGAGTGAGATGGTTTCTGTTAGAAGAGGATGGAGGAGTTGCATGCATCATGATTGAAATAATTCAATTAGAAAGTTTCTAATTTTTTGTTATGGTAAATGCCGTTGATGCACATATTTGTTATACATCTTTTAGCATTTTTTCCACTCTCTTTGTTAGGATACATTTCTTGGAATAATTGTTGAGTCAAAGGATTTGAAATTTTTTTTTTTTTTTGAGACGGAGTCTCACTGTGTCACCCAGGCTGGAGTGCAGTGGCATGATCTCGGCTCACTGCAACCTCCACCTCCCGGATTCACCGATTCTCCTGCCTCAGCCTCCCCAGTAGCTGGGACTACAGGCATCCGCCACCATGCCCGGCTAATTTTTTGTATTTTTAGTAGAGACCGGGTTTCACCATGTTTCGATCTCCTGACCTCGTGATCTGCTCGCCTCGGCCTCCCAAAGTGCTGGGATTACAGGCGTGAGCCACGGCGCCCGGCCTGACATTTTTTTCTTTTTCTTCTTTTCTTTTCTTTTTTTTTTTTTTTTTGAGATAGGGTCTTGCTCTGTCACCCAGGCTGGAGTGCAGTGGTGCCATCTTGGACCATTGCAACCTCTGTCTCCCAGGCTCAGGCAATCCTCCCACCTCAGCCTCTGAGTAGCTGGGACCACAGGTGTGCAGCACTATGCTAGGCTATTTTTTTGTATTTTTAGTAGAGACGGGGTCTTGCCATGTTGCCCAGAGAGAGAGAGAGAGAGAGAGAGAAACAGAGAGAGAATTCCAGAGTGCTCCTTTTACTTAATTATGCCAATTTTGCTAAAGAGCATTTAAAAAACTACTTTCAAGGTGGTGGAGCAGCGGGCCTATCTTGGACAGTCGGGCCTGTTCCTTCTCTTAGGAAAGTCTGCATTACACTTTTGTCCTGCCTGCCTGAGTGGCCAATCTGAGTGACCCTGCTGCCACCATTGTCCCTTGGTCACCCTTTGGGTAGGGGAACTGTTCCCTCTACTTTTTCTGTATACTTCCCTTCACTTGGTATAGAGCATCTTAAACTTGAGAGGACAGAGAAGCACTTGGGAGCTTGCTTAATAGAGATTAAAGGAAGAAAGCCGGGCACAGTGGCTCAGGCCTGTAATCCCAGCACTTTGGGAGGCGGAGGTGGGCGGGTCACCCTGAAGTCAGGAGTTCAAGACCAGCTTGGCCAACATGGCGAAACCCCGTCTCTACTAAAAATACAAAAATTAGCCAGCCATGGTGGTGCGCGTCTACAATTCCAACTACTTGGGAGGCTGAGGCAGAAGAATTGCTAGTACCTAGGAGGTGGAGGTTGCAGTGAGCCAAGATCGAGCCATTGCATTACAGCCTGTGTGATGGAGTGAAACTGTCTCAAAAAAAAAAAAAGGGTTAAAGGAGGAAGATTCCTGCATTCTGATCCCTAATATTCTAATTTGGTAGTTCTAGGGCCCAAGAACCCATATTTTTAACAGGCTCCTTAGATGATTCTGGTGCAGGCACTTGGCAAATCCCACTTTCAGAAAAATTGCTCTGGTGCTTTGATGGGTACTTTTTGGGTAGTAAGAAGTCAACATGAGGCTGGGCACGGTGGCTTACACCTGTAATCCTAGCACTTTGGGAGGCTGAGGTGGGCAGATCACTAGGTCAGGAGATTGAGGCCATCCTGGCTAACATGGTGAAACCCCGTCTCTACTAAATATACAAAAAATTAGCCGGGCGTGATGGCATGTGCCTGTAGTCCCAGCTACTTGGGAGGCTGAGGTGGGAGAATCTCTTGAATCTGAGAGTTGGAGGTTGCAGTAAGCCAAGATCGCGCCACTGCACTCCAGCCTGAACGATAGAGCAAGACTCTGTCTCAAAAAAAAAAAAAAAAAAAAAAAAAAAAGGAGAAGTCAAGATGAAAAGTTTCCTATTTAAAAACACTGGTTGTGCTACTCTTCATTTCAGTAAGTCAGTTCTGGGTCTCATCAAACAACTTTCTTATGGGGATATTCAATTCTGAAGTGCCCAGTAGTACTTCCTAGGTAAGAATGCTGCTGGCCCTCTCATTTTCCTGCTATCATCCTTTAGATTAACCCATCTGTCTCATAGTCTTCCGTATCTAACCCCTCTGGTTCTCTGTTCTTATTAGGCCATGGCAGAATCCATTAAGGATCTCCACAGTTTCTCCTGATCCTACTTAGAAAATAATATTTTGAAGATATGTTCCTGGAACAGGTCAGGGAGTTGGTAGGGAGGTCATCTTGCTGTCTGCCAGAGACCTGGCCAGACCAAGGTTATCTGGGTTAATTAGAACCTGGCTCTTTGCCTTGAAGGTTCAGATACCCGATTTTGTCAACAAACAAGATTGATCTGGTCTGTGATGAGCAGACTCATCTTAACTAAACGTACAGCATTGGAAGCACACAACCAACATGCCATACATGGGTTTACAGTTAGAAAAGGAACTGGAGCATTTACACTGGCACAGAACTCCAGGTGCAAATGGTTTGAGTGCCCCATTATAATCACAAGCTTATTTCATGGGTAAAAAATCAGCTGGGTGCAGTGGCTCACACCTGTAATGCCAGTACTTTGGGAGGCTGAGGTGGGTGGATCACCTGACATCAGGAATTTGAGACCAGCCTGACCAACATGGAGAAAAACCATCTCTACTAAAAAAATACAAAATTAGCCAGGCGTGGTGGTGCATCCCTGTAATCCCAGCTACTCGGGAGGCTGAGGCAGGAGAATTGCTTGAACCCAGGAGGTGGAGGTTGCGGGGAGCCGAGACTGTGCCCTTGCGCTCCAGCCTGGGCAACAAGAGCGAAACTCCATCTCAAAAAAAAAAAAAAAAATTCAGAATAAGGGAAGGTAAACACCTGATTTACTTTCTGAATACATTGAGGCTGATTCTTTAATCTCCACAACTGAGATAATTTTGTAACCCTGCTGACGAATTATGCCTTTTGAAGGATACATTTATTTTGATTTGTTAATGCATCCAGTCAAATTTTACTCTGAACAGAGAATCATTTTCTCTCTTTAAAGTGACTTTGCCTCTGTCTGCTTCCTTTCCTCTTTCTTTCCTTCCCATTTTTGTTTCTTTCGTTTTGTTTGTTTTACAGGTAATTCTCAGAGAGCCAACTTAATATCCTTTTTTTCCTCAAGTTATTGCATAGAGTGGGAGGTAGGGACATAGATTGCAATTACTGGTTCAGGTACTTCACAGTTGTCCCCTAGTGTTTCTGCAGTACTCACTTCCAGTTTTCTTTTGATTTTCACCTTGCTCACGCTTGTAATCCCAGCGCTTTGGAAGGCAGAGGCGGATGGATCACTTGAGGTCAGGAGTTTGAGACAACCCTGACCAACATGGTGAAAAATTACCAAAAATTAGCTGGGCATGGTGGCATGCACCTATAGTCCCAGCTACTCAGGAGGCTGAGGCAGGAGAATTCCTTGAATCTGGGAGGCGGAGGTTGCAGTTAGCCAAGATCTCGCCACTGCACTCCAGCCTGGGTGACAGAGTGAGACCCTGTCTCAAAAAACAAACAAAAAAGAGAAAAAAGAAAAGAAAAAGAAAAAACCCTAAGAAACTGAATTTTTAAATATTTATTTTAATTAATTAAATTTAAGTAGCCACCTGTGGCTAGTGGTTACCATATCGGACAGCACAGCCCTCTAACCATTGAAAATAGAGAGTTACTTCTGTGACAGGAAGCAAATCGTAAAGTTGGTTTACTAAAAATACAAAAATTAGCCAGGCGTGGTTGCACACGCCTGTAATCTCAGCCACTAGGGAGGCTGAGGCATTTTTTATGTTTTGTTTATGTTTTATGCTTTATGTTTTTAGTAGAGACGGGGTTTCATCATATTGGCCAGGCTGGTCTTGAACTCCTGACCTCAAGTAATCTGCCCACCTCGGCCTCCCAAAATGCTGGGATTACAGGCATGAGCCACTGTGCTCGGCCTAGTTAGGGCTCTTTTGGCTGCAAGTAACAGAAACCCATGATGGCTAGCTTAAGCCAAAAAAGAGGATTCATTTAAAGGTTGCGAGAGCATCCAAGGACAGAAACACAGCTCAGCCTCTGGGACAAACTGGAATCTAAGACTTGAGTCTTATCAACACTCTATCTGCTCCTCTCTTGCATCTGCCTCATTTTAGTTTCTCTCTGCAGACTGGCTTACACTTCTTTTCTACTCCACAATAAGCAAGTATGACTGCCAATAGCTCCTGAGATTATGTTTCCTCCATTCAGTACACCAGCCAAGCTGAGACTAGACTCTTTCAGTGCTCATTCCAAACACTTCTGGGAGGTGATCATTGGCCTCACTTGGCTCAGGTGTCTATTCCTGGTCCAGCTGTCTGTGACTGGGGGCAAGGTCAATCATAGCTGCATGAAGCCCTGCTGTTATGGCCTTGTAGTCCAGGAGGGTGGGCAGAAGCCAGGAAAAGAAATGGGGGCTGGGCAGGCAACCCCAGGGAGGCCACTACAATTCTCATTCTACCATTTGGTGGCTCCCAATTACCTACTTTAGTCCTTCCCCTGAGCTTTCCCTCTCCTGAGCTATACCATGAATACACCCCAATCATCTCTTTATTTTATTTTACTTAATTTTTTATTTTTTTGAGATGGAGTCTTTCTCTGTCACCCAGGCTGGAGTGCAGTGGCGTGATCTTGGCTCACTGCAGCCTTTGCCTCCTGGGTTCAAGTGATTCTCCTGCCTCAGCCTCCCAAGTAGCTGGGATTACAGGCATGCACCACCATGCCTGGCTAATTTTTGTGTTTTAGTAGAGATGGGATTTCACCATGTTGGCCAGGCTGCTCTCGAACTCCTGACCTCAAATGGTCCACCCACTTTGGCCTCCCAAAATGTTGGGATTATGGGCATGAGCCACTGCACCCAGCCCCATTCTGAAGATTTCTACACCCTCTGCTAATCAAAGTTGCTTTATGTTGTGTTCCATCAAAATAGGACTCTATAGTATAAGTAATTAATCTGATATTGACAGCAAACTCCAGCAAAGATTCCAGATAAACTCAAAATATCAATTTTCCCATCTGATAAGTGGGGATAATATTGCCTACCTTGAAGCACTGTTATAAGGTTTAGAGATTAATAATAATAATAATAATGCTTACTCCCTTCCAAGTAACACATTTTCAGTTTTTTGTTTGTTTGTTCGTTTGTTTTATGAGATGGAATGTCACTCTGTCGCCAGGCTGGAGTGCATTGGTGTGATCTCGGCTCTTTGAAACCTCTGCTTCTCAGGTTCAAGTGCTTCTCTTGCCTCAGCCTCCCGAGTAGCTGGGACTACAGGCTCACGCCACCACTCCCAGCTAATTTTTGTATTTTTAGTAGAGACCGGGTTTCACCACGTTGGCCAGGATGGTCTCAATCTCTTGACCTCGTGATCTGCCCACCTTGGCCTCCCAAAGTGCTGGGATTACAGGGATGAGCCACTGCGCCCAGCTATTCTAGGGATTTCAAACACTATGTCATATTGCAGTGAAGGAGTTAGAATCTTTAGTGACCCACAAATCATATGACATAAACTTTGATATCCTATTTTTTTTTACCTCCATATTGATCCTACATAGAACTCAGATTCAAAAATCAAAGACAGCCTTTCTCACAATCTAAGCAAAGGATTTATCTAGCTGTGTGATCTTGGGCATAACTCTGTGCTTTTCCTCATCTGTAAAATGGGGCAATAATAGCCATTACCTCACATGGTTGTTATTAAGATTAAATGAATTATTATATGTAAAGTGCTTAGAACAGAACCTAGCAATAGTAAACACTATATAAATGTTAACATTGATTATTGTTATTTAATTCATTGTTTCTTAAACTGCAGATTACAATGCATTAGTAGTGGACTTAAATACAAAGAAACAGAATAAAATTGAATGATCAGAGAGCATTGCTCATAGTAAGGATAAGTATTACTGTGGGTTGTGATAAATGTACCCAACCTGTGAGTTTTAATATTTGCTCTTTTTGAATAATTTGAAGCAGTCCTTATAGCTTATTTGAATGTGCACAAGAAGACTGAGAAAACGAATGGAACTCCGTGGATGTGGGTCAAGTCCATTTGGTTTCAATGTCTGTTCTATCACCGATGAGCAATGTGGTTTAGCAGGCGACCTAAACTCTGTCTCAACTTCCCTTTTGTTAAAAAAAGGGGATTTCTTGTATGTATCTCATAAGAATAAGTGAAGCACTTTGAGCTACGTAGAGTCTAGCACTACTAATTCAGCATCTCTCAATTTATGGTTTGCAAATCATAGCTCGGCAATATCATAGAGCTGTTGCCAAGATAATAGTTCTTCCCATTTTTTTTTTTCCAGGAGAACGTCAGAGAAAAAAGTTTCTGATTTGCAATAAATTAAACTGCTTAACTTTCTAAACACTTATGAAATTCCTAGAATTGATAATGAAATACACTTAATGTGACTATTACATTGATTTTAGAATTTTTTGCAAATTAAATATTGAAAATTCAAACATTTCTAACATGATCTTTCTCTATTTTACCATATCTGGCTACTCCTTTTTGTTTTTTTCTCTTTCCTTCCAGTTGCATGGAGCCTAAGTTAAAGCCTGAAAAAACAGCTAGGCATGGTGGCATGCACCTATAGTCTGAGCTACTCAGGAGGCTGAAGTGGGAGGATTGCTTGAGTACAGGAGTTCAAGGCTGCAGTATGCTATGATCACATCTATGAACAGCCACTGTATTCCAGCCTGGGCAACATAGCTAGACCCTATCTTATTTAAAAAAGAAAAGAAAGGAAAAAAAGCTGGAAAAAAATAAAAGGAAGTGCTGCATGACACTATTCAGGGAGATGAGGTTAATAGTTTTTAAGCATGTGGTTTTCATCCTATTTTATACCTTACTATAAGGTATAAAAGTAGAAATAGGGACCTTGTAGATCCAGTACTGACTTGGCAGATAAGAGGAGAAAGCAGTCCAGAGGAGAAACCCTACTCAACGAGGGGAAGATACTGTGCATTGGCAGTAACAGTAACACAAAACAAGTATGGAGGAATAAAGTGTAAAGGGAAGAGGACAGGTACGAAAATGATTAAAGTGCTGTGAAGAAGTTATAGATCAGACCGGGTGCTGTGGCTCACGCTTGTAATCCCAGCACTTTGGGAGGCCAAGTCGGGCAGATCACCTGAGGTCTGGAGTTCGAGACCAGCCTGGCCAACATGGTGAAACCCCCTCTCTACAAAAATACAAAAAATGAGCCAGACGTGGTGGTGCGCGCCTGTAGTTCCAGCCACTTGGGAGCTAGCACCACTGCACTTCAGACTGGGTGAGAGAGCCAGACTCCATCTCAAAAGAAGAAAAAAAAAAGTTAAAGATCATAATTCCGAAAAAAAGAAATTAACGAAAAGCTACAGGAAAAAAATGAGATGGAAAAGGAAATGGTTGACATTCTTTTGTGAAACTGACCTCCTAGCATTTGACTTGCTGCTAAACAAACAAAACAAAACCTTTTAAACACATTTTTTTAAATCGAGGCTCAAGGAAGGAGGACTTTGGCAGAAGGACCATCAGAGACCATAACTGGTTTCTTTTCTTTGGAAAAGAGCAGAAGGTGTAAATGCAAACACAAGCCAGTGTTTGCATGCTCAATTAACATTTGAATTTCTTCCCCCTCCTTCATAAAAATAAAAATAATTTATGTTGAATTTTTGCATCTTACCCTATCCTTTCTCATTTCCATCTTCTTTGTAATTAATATTAGTGGGTCATTATCAACAGATCAGTAAATGGAGACAAAAGAAAAGCATTTGCCTCAAACTATTTATCAGGTCACAGAACAGAGCTGGCCTTCGAGTTTGTAACCTCTCCATTCTTGGTCTCTGTTATCAGACAGCCATAATTAACGAAGAAGACATTCTAGACTACCTAGTACCAGTTAATTTGGATCTTGTATCTGTACTATTTAATGGAAGAAGATGAAACAATAGGTAGTCCCCACCCCCAATCATTTGAAATTCTCATGCGCAGACAAGCACACTCTCATGGTGGTCTTGCTCAACTCCTGCTGGCAGCCAAGAAGGTGAGGTGGGAGGTCATGCAAAATCCACCTAATAACTACATAACTATTTGTTGACCAATCCTTTAATTGACTTTTCGACACTGATGAAGACCATGAGCCTGTGGAATTACAAAATTCATTACCTCGCAGTGCTTATTTTTTCTAAGGCCTGCATTTTCTGTGTCTGTGCAATTCTGTATTTGGAATAAAGAACCATTATCATTTGTGTTCAATGTCGTATGATACATACAATCAATTTTACTGATAACTTCTGAAAATCCTTAAGTAGGCCTGCAAAAATGTGCCTTCCTGTGAGCCTCCCCATCTGCCTCAGATCTATGTATAAATGGACCCCGTTCAGTTTCACTTGCTTTCAAACGCGTACCTTTGAGGTTTGGGAATTCAAGGACAAAATGATTTTAATTTGATGCATTTTGTACTTTGACCAATAAGGGAAAAATAAATGCCCTCAAATTTGATTGGTTCTAGTCATATTTGCCGGTCACTATTTGTCAAACCATTGCACTTAAAATCACAGGCATGAAAGATCTCTCAAAAACAGATTTCTGAGGAATGCAAATCAACAGAACGGGGAGGCGGATTAATGTGTTTGATTTCTCAAAAGTCTATTTACTGTCCAATTTATCTTCGTCCTTGGACATGCTAGCAAGTAATTATTCTTATGGCTGGTAAAATGACTGCTAAACATTTATTAATAATTGCAGTTTTGGAATTACTTTTTTATTAACCAGTCATGTTGGTTTCTAAAAATTGTTACTTCTGGCTAGACACAGGAGCCAGGTGCTGAGAGTTGACCTGGTGCCAAGTTTCAGGACTGTCCAGTCTTCACATCAGATCTTCAGCTAGGCCTTCTGAATATTCTCACAGTTAGAAAATCTATCCCCCTAGACTCGCAGATGCTGTTTTTCCCCCACTGGCTCTGCACAGAACATCATTATCTTTGCCACGCTTCTGTCTCTATGGCAATAACAGATGGAAAGTGCTGTGGAATTATTCATGTTCAGGAAAGGAGGCAGTCAAGAAGGAAGAAAAGGTGGGGGGGCGGGGTGGAGAGGGGGCACGACCTGGGAGCTCGGCGGTGGAGGCCTAAGGAAGGGAACTTGGGTGGGGGTGCGGGGAGTGGTGGGGATTGAGAGGCTTGTGAGCCTTTCGGAGGCCTGTTGTGAGGAAAAAAAAAATAAAAAGTACGAGCACAAGAGTATTTCCAGCCGGCCGACTGCAAATGTGGGCCCCCACAGGAACAACCCGAAGCAGTAAAACTAGAAGAAATTGGACGAAAATGGGGGGGAAAAAAGGGACAAAGCTCGAGTCTCCTGAATTTTGTGCACTGCTACTCGGTGGACTATTTCAGTTCCTGATCTTGTGGTGGGGTGGAGAAAAGGGGATTTCTTGGTGTTTCGAAATGTGACGGAGCAGCTCTGCAGAGTTCAATATGCTAATCGGCTACCCTGGGAACCAGGAAGACCACCCTACACGCCTCAGAGGGTCACAGCCGGAAAGCTCTTGAGTCCTATCTTCCCTACCTCGTCTCGTCCCTCTCCAAAAAAACACACACACAAAAAAACACCCTCAGTAAACACTGTAAAAACCTTTAATTTATAGCTCCCTTCTGGAACCGAGAGAGCAGCCTGGTGGGGTGGAGGCAGGAGGCTGGGGAGTAGGGACAGAAATGTTTGCTCTCGGTTTTGCCGGAACTTTGGCCACCCCTCCCGCCCGGCCCGATGGCGGATGGAGGTCAGCCAGGGGAAGGCGTCTGGGTGGAGGCCGCCCGGGCGAGGCCGGGGCCGCCGGGGCGGGGCGGAGCGCCGGCAGCTGGCTGGGCGGCCCTCGGGCAGGAGGCCCCGCGGGGGCGAGGGGCAGCCCAGGAGGGAGGTCCCGCGGGGGCGGGGAGCAGAGCCGGCCCCGGGGGCCCTGCAGGGCGGCCGCCGCCCGGCTGCCTCCGGGGCGGGGCGGCCCAGCTGCGGCCCCGCAGGGGGAGGGTCGCCCGTGCCTGACCTCGGGCGGCGGCACTCTGCCGGGCGGGCACTGCCTCCGCCCTGCCGGCTGCTGGGGTCGCGCACAGTGCACCGCGCGGCTGCCCTGCCCCCTCTTCCCCGCTGCGCGGCGTCCGAGCGGCCAGGGCGCCCCCGCGTCTGGCCCATCACCACAGAGCGGCGGGTGGGGCGGGGGCGGGGCGGTGGCCCCAGACAGCCGGCTGGGCGACTAGAGGAAGGAAGGAGGGAGGGCGGCGGTGAGGGTGGGGTGGGGAGGGAACATCCTGTCTGCGCCGGGTGCACCGCAGACAGCGCCGCGCGCCAGCTTCCCAGACGGCGCGCGGGGCCAGAAGCGCCGGGCGCGCGCCTGGGGGGAGGGGCACGCGCGCGAGACGACGGGGCCAGGGGGGCGCTCTGAGGAGCCACAATAGGCCAGACGGCACGCGCGTCCACGAGGGGGCCGGGAGCCGCGAAGTGGCGGCGGCGGCGACGACGCCGGCGGGCCCGCGCGCGCGGCGCCGCCGCTGGCTCCGTTCCCTTCCCCTCCCCCTCCCCGCCGCCCTCGCTCTCCCCCGGGCGGCCGGAGACGGCGGCGGCGTCTGCGGGAAGCTGTGTGTCTCCGCAGTGACGTGGGCGGGCCGAGGACTCGGTGACGTCAGAGGGCTGTGTGTAGCGATGTGTGTGGGGTTCGGAGCCGCGCCGGCACAGCCGAAGGGAGCGGGCGAGCGGCGACGGCGGCGGCGGCGGGCACAGGTGCGGCTCCGGCTTACGGCGGCGACGCGGCGGAGGCGGCGGGAGGCCAGAGGCGCTCACCCTCCTAGGAGCCCGACGGCGGCGACAGGGGCGGTGGGGAATTCACAAAGCTCGTCGAGCTTACCCGGGCACCGAGGCCCGAGTAGGGGGTTTGGATGCGCGGGTCCCGGGTGGGGTCGGGGCCAGAGGGGGTCGCTAGGCGGGTGTTCCACGGCTGATCACGCTTCGTTGGCCCCAGGCGGTGGGCGCCGGCAGGGCAGGGCGCTGTAGTTGACGGGAGCCGCGGGGACCCCGGAGACCCGGACGCCCGTCACCGCCCCCCTCCCCCAGTCCAGCAGCGCTCCGCGGGGATGCCCTGGTCTCGACCCGGTCCGTCAGCCCCCGGCGGCGCAGGGATCCGCGCCCGGCGCCTAAACTGCCCTGGTGTCCTCTTCGTTCTGGCCCGGGGCTGGCGCGGGGAGGTGCAGCATTAGGGGCGCTGAGGTGACACCCGAGAACTTCCCAGGGAGAGGGTGCGCGGGGGGGTGGATTTCCACAGTCCTTCCCGCGGCCCCCGCGGGGGGGCGGTGTTGGGAGGGCACTTGGGGTTATCCCAGGCTCGCCGGTGGGGGTGGGGGGACTCCTCCCTTTACTTCCCTCCACCCCCTTGCACACCCACCCCCAGGCTTCCCGTGTCCCTTGTTCTCCCTCTCTCCGGGTTAGAGATAGGTGGGTGGCTTTGAGTGGGCGGAGGACTTCAGGGTTTTAGGGGCTCCCCCATTCTAGGTCATGCCTCTTGCTCTCTTCCTTGGCCTGTGTTGAGTAAGGTGTGTTCCTGTGGTGGACGAAAGTCTGTACGATGGTTGGTGGCATTGGTCCTTAATCCTTTGGGTCTGTTTTAAGGTAAAGTGCTGAGAGTTTGGGAAGCAAAAATTTCTATTTATTGGATTTCTTTTGGCTTTTCTCTCAAGAAGGAAGTGGAAAAAGAGTCTTTTCTTTTTCCCTCTTCCTCCATTTGCATTCTTTGTGAGGTTTGTCTGCCTTGTGCTTTTTGTCCCGGATTAGTCTTGTTGAAGGATGGAGATTCCCAGGCGTGGAGTCTATAGCTTTTGGCTTCCATTAAGTAAAATCGCTAACCTTTTTTTAAGAGAAAGTTAATTTTTGCCTGCAGTCATTCCAGAAAAATAGTGTACACGGACTAGCTGAATTAATCCACTTAAAATTGTAACTTAGTTACATATGGTAGATATGTTAACTCCTATCTGATTTTTTTGGATGAAACTGTTGTTTTGTTTTTAAATAGGAGATGAAGTAATGGATTTTTTTCCCTCCCTTAAAATGGCATAGCTGAGAAAGCCCCGGTACTACTAATTGAGATGATCTGCTTAAGAGTCTTCATATTCTGAACTCGAAAGGCCTTTTATGTTATATTATTGCTCGCTTTACGCAACTCCAAATTGCTTTCCTATTTAAATGAATGTTCTTCTAGTAAACTGGTGTTAGATTTAAAGAAATCACTCAAGCTTCACCTTGGTAAACTGAACTCAGTTTAAGATTAAGAAACTGATTTCGGCCGGGTGCGGTGGCTCACGCCTGTAATTCCAGCACTTTGGGAGGCCCGGGCGGGCGGATCACCTGAGGTCAGGAGTTCAAGACCAGCCTGACTAATATGGTGAAACCCCGTTTCTACTAAAAATACAAAAAAATTAGCCGGGTGTCGTGGCTTGTGCCTGTAGTCCCAGCTACTCCGGAGTCTGAGACAGGAAAATTGCTTGAACCCGGGAGGCGGAGGTTGCAGTATGCCGAGATCGCTGCACTTCAGCCTGGGCGACAGAGCGAGACTCCGTAAAAAAAAGAAAAAAAAAAAAATAAAAGAAACTGGTTTCAAATTGGCCCTTTGGCCTCTGGAGCAAATTCAAATGTAACTCTTCCCCAACCCCCCTTCTCTTCTTCCAGATTAATTAAAAGAAGAATGAACTATAATCCTTGAAGATAACTGGGCAATTTTTTAAGTCGGAGGCTGTTCTTACTGGTGTGAGGATTTACACACGTCTTCAGTTTTTCAGCACAGACCAGCAGACCATCATTTTTAGAGGAAATACTCCCTCTGCCCTCCTTTTTGGTTTCCTTGGTGGTAAAGATTAAATTTGGTTGCATCATTTTGACTTGTGTTTGAGTCTAGATTTTATGGCACAAGGAATGGCATAAACTTTTCATGTGTTTTGGTTAAAACAAACCAGACCATTGCATTGACCCTGGACATCTTTAATTGAGAAATTGGTAACTTTATTTTAATATGTATATCTGAAGAATTCAAGAAAACAAAGGCATCCTCAGAGGTGTGCCTCTTTTCTTTATTATTAGAGGCAAAACGAACAATTTTATAGGATTTGTAGTGAAATTATACCAGATTATAAGGAGAACCAAAACTAAGTCGCAAAATTTATTAATTTAAGGGGCTCTCGCTTTGAAAGTTTGAGAGTAAGTTACGATAGGCATTTGTATCCATTCATTACTTTCCTCTTTTCAAATAAGCAACTAAATAGAAATGCTAATCTCAGACTTAATTATTTAACAGAAGAGTGTACCATGGAAAACCTCCAGACAAATTTCTCCTTGGTTCAGGGCTCAACTAAAAAACTGAATGGGATGGGAGATGATGGCAGCCCCCCAGCGAAAAAAATGATAACGGACATTCATGCAAATGGAAAAACGATAAACAAGGTGCCAACAGTTAAGAAGGAACACTTGGATGACTATGGAGAAGCACCAGTGGAAACTGATGGAGAGCATGTTAAGCGAACCTGTACTTCTGTTCCTGAAACTTTGCATTTAAATCCCAGTTTGAAACACACATTGGCACAATTCCATTTAAGTAGTCAGAGCTCGCTGGGTGGACCAGCAGCATTTTCTGCTCGGCATTCCCAAGAAAGCATGTCGCCTACTGTATTTCTGCCTCTTCCATCACCTCAGGTTCTTCCTGGCCCATTGCTCATCCCTTCAGATAGCTCCACAGAACTCACTCAGACTGTGTTGGAAGGGGAATCTATTTCTTGTTTTCAAGTTGGAGGAGAAAAGAGACTCTGTTTGCCCCAAGTCTTAAATTCTGTTCTCCGAGAATTTACACTCCAGCAAATAAATACAGTGTGTGATGAACTGTACATATATTGTTCAAGGTGTACTTCAGACCAGCTTCATATCTTAAAGGTACTGGGCATACTTCCATTCAATGCCCCATCCTGTGGGCTGATTACATTAACTGATGCACAAAGATTATGTAATGCTTTATTGCGGCCACGAACTTTTCCTCAAAATGGTAGCGTACTTCCTGCTAAAAGCTCATTGGCCCAGTTAAAGGAAACTGGCAGTGCCTTTGAAGTGGAGCATGAATGCCTAGGCAAATGTCAGGGTTTATTTGCACCCCAGTTTTATGTTCAGCCTGATGCTCCGTGTATTCAATGTCTGGAGTGTTGTGGAATGTTTGCACCCCAGACGTTTGTGATGCATTCTCACAGATCACCTGACAAAAGAACTTGCCACTGGGGCTTTGAATCAGCTAAATGGCATTGCTATCTTCATGTGAACCAAAAATACTTAGGAACACCTGAAGAAAAGAAACTGAAGATAATTTTAGAAGAAATGAAGGAGAAGTTTAGCATGAGAAGTGGAAAGAGAAATCAATCCAAGGCAAGTTTTTTATATCAATTTTTAATAATGGTAATGGTTTACTTTGAAATGAAAATTCTATGTTTAGTGTGTAACTTAACCTGTATGTTGAACATTGCTCATGCAACAACAACAAAATACCGATTGATATATTTGTATTGCAGTTTTTAGGCCATAAAGTGCTTTGCAGTATGTTTCCTCATTTGACTTTCCAAACATCCTGTGAGAGAAGTAAGACTATTATTCCGTTTTACAGATAAAGTGAATGAAGCTCAGAGAGATAAAATGACTTTCCCAAAATTATGTAGCCAGGGAGTGGAGGAGTTAGGGCTTCTTTTTTTTTTTTTTTTGTGCTTTTAGTAGAGGCCAGGTTTCAGCATGTTGGCCAGGCTGGTCTTGAACTCCTGACCGCGTGATCCGCCCACCTTGGCCTCCCAAAGGGCTGGGATTACATCCTTGAGCCCCTGTGTCCAGCCAGGGCTTCTTTTTCTTATCCTCTTTGGCACACATCTTGCTTCTTGACCACTACATCTGTTGTTTTTCTAGGACTCGATAATTTGCGCTTTGGTGTTATCTCCATTTGCAAATGGTACAATGGCCACAATTCCCGTGGGCTCAAAACAGCATTTTTCAGAGATACACCTATGATTTCTGATGTTTCTATGTTTGGATATTCAGGCTTGCTCAATATTTGAAACAAATGGAAAAGACATGTATCTGAAGAATTTGTGATTTGAAAGGAATAACAAAAAAAATGACAGCTAGAGTAAGGAAAAGTTATTTTAAACTAATAAAATATTAATATAAAAACCTGCCGGGCTCAGTGGCTCACACCTGTAATCCCAACACTTTGGGGGGCTGAAGTAGGTGGATCACCTGAGGTCAGGAGTTTGAGACCAGCCTGGCCAACATGGTGAAATCCCATCTCTACTAAAAATACAAAAATTAGACGGATGTGGTGTCGCACACTTGTAATCCCAGCTACTCAGGAGCTGAGGCAGGAGAATCGCTTGAACCCCGGAGGCGGAGGTTGTAGTGAGCCGAGATTGTGCCATTGCGCTCCAGCGTAGGCGTCGAGGGAAACTCCATCAAAAAACAAAACAAAACAAACAAACAACCTATCAACAGGTGGGAGCAATGAATGGCTCACAATCCCAGCACTTTGGGAGGCCCAGGTGGGCAGATCACTTCAGGTCAGGAGTTTGAGACCAGCCTGGCCAACATGGTAAAACCCCATCTCTACTAAAAATACAAAAATTAGCCAGGCATGGTGGTGTGTGTTTGTAGTCCCAGCTACTTGGGAGGCTGAGCCAGGAGAATCGCTTGAACCTGGGAAGCGGAGGTTGCAGTAAGCCGAGATCACGCCACCACAGTCCATCCTGGGCGTCAGAGTAAGACTCCATTTCAAAAAAAAAAAACACAACCACCTATCAGCCAAGGTATCATAATTTTATTTTTCCTGCTGCATTATCTAGTAGGCTAAACTATTATTTTCATTCCAAGGTTTTGAATGCCGAGGTAATGGACAAGATTGGGATTATTAAATATTTAGTTTCTTGATCGGGTTGTTTTATATTTTTTCCTATTTGACTAAAATTAATGTGTAATAACAGTTCCTAACACTAAGTGTTTAAAATGTGGCAAACATTATTCTTGAGCAGTTTTACATATATAATTTTATTTAATTCTTAACAAGAGGTTGGCTGTGTTTCATTTAGGAACTTTGAATTTTTCCACTATTAGTTTTGATTCCTTGAAATATCCTTGCCCATTTCTATTTTACAGAAGAAATGAATAAAGCATATTAAATGACTGACTGAAGGTTTATTCACAGCAAAGTTAGAGCTTGGACTAGTCCTTAAGACTTGGGATCCTGAGCTTTATTCTGGTGCCTTTAAGGTTTTGAGGGAAATTTAGTTAACAGTGTAGTTTAAGACATTGGTTAAGCCTAATGAAGATAATAATTTTAGACTCATTTATGGTAGTTTGCTGCTTGCTGCTTCCAGAAGACCAGCACTTTGAAATTTCTTGCCAGTGGCTGCTAGATAAGTTTATATTCTTCAGGTGTAGTTATTAACTGATTTTTTTTTTTTTGAGACAGAGTTTCGCTCCTGTTGCCCAGGCTAGAGCTCAGTGGCGCGATCTTGGCAGATTGCAGCCTCCGCCTCCTGGGTTCAAGTGATTCTCCTGCCTCAGCCTCCTGAGTCACTGGGATTACAGGCATCAGCCACCACACCCTTTAATTTTTGTTATTTTTAGCAGAGACTGGTTTCGCCATGTTAGCTAGGCTGGTCTCAAACTCCTGACCTCGGGTGATCCACCCGCCTTGGCTTCTCAAAGTGCTGGGATTACAGGTGTGAGCCACTGCTCTCGGCCTATTAACTAATTTTAAATCAGGATTGACTTCAAGCCAGTGCTCAGTGTAGAACTTGCTTACAGTTGGACTTGTCCCGTGCTGAAGTTTGTGCTCAGAGATTATATTTCAAAATGTGGAATGCCCCTTTTGATATTTGTGATATCTTGCCCCCAAGCTAATTAGGTGCTGTACTTTTTTTTTTGTAGAGACAAGTCTTGCTCTGTCGCCGAGGCTGGAGTGCAGTGGCACGATCTCGGCTCACTGCAACCTCTGCCTCCTGGGTTCAAGCAATTCTCCTGCCTCAGTCTTCCGAGTAGCTGGGACTTCAGGCGCCCACCGCCATGCCCAGCTAATTTCTTTTGTATTTTAGTAGAGAGGGGGTTTCACCATGTTGCCCAGGCTGGCCTCGAACTCCTGAGCTCAGGCAATGCGCCTGTCTCTGCCTCCCAAAATGCTAGGATTACAGGCGTGAGCCACCATGCCCAGTGGTGGTCTACTCTTACATGTCTGTTGGAGGCCACATTTGCCAGATATTGTTGCTCCCGTCTTTTTTTTTTTTTTTTTTTTTTTTTTTTTGAGACAGAGTTTCGCTCTTATTGCCCAGGCTGGAGTACAATGGCGCGATCTCAGTTCACTGCAATCTCCACCTCCCAGATTCAAGTGATTCTCCTGTCTCAGCCTCCCAAGTAGCCGGGGTTACAGGTGCCCACCACCATGCCTAGCTTGTTTTTTGTATTTTTAGTAGAGATGGGATTTTACAGCCTAGCCGGCTGGTCTTAACTCCTGACCTGAGGTGATCCGACCTCCTCGTCCTCTCAATTGCTGGGATTACAGGCATGAGCCATGGCGCCTGGCCCGCCCCAGTCTAATTATTAGTCTGACATAAGTGTATTTTGGATAAACTACTTTTCCTAATATTCTTGCTCTGTGTTTATGTGAAAAACATCTGAGAACCATGATAAAGGTTTAAAAAAAAAAAGATGATGGATTAATTTACTTAACTGAAACAATGTGCTGAGGTTTGGTTAACACTGAAACCATCCTTCGTCTGGGATGTAATCCCTTTTTGTCCCAGAATTCACTGATTTGAATACATTTTCGATTTTAGGAAGGTGTGAGTTTCTTTCTGATCTTTTTGCTGTGTTATATTTTGCAGTATTTGAATTAGTGTTTGTGGTGTATTTTGATATTGCTTGTAATTTTATGTGAATTTGAGAAATTTAAAGGAATTTAAGAAAATTTCAAACACCCATACTTTAAGAAAGATTCTTTTCTTTGGTTCATATTTAATACGTACTTGAGTGGTTGTTTTATTATGCTTACCACTTCACGTTTTAAAAACGTACTCAGAACATTGTGAAGTACACTTATTTTTTAGGGTCTGTGAGGAAGGTGAATGACAATATTTCCACCTCTTAGATGAGTCACATGCTCCTGGTTGTATAACCAGAATCAGGAGTTGAATACAGGGCTTCTAACTCGAAGTTTAGTAATTTTTCACTATTTGCCCCTGAAGCACATGTTAGTAGCAGAAACTGAATTTTGAGAAACATTAACTTTTCTTATCAATTTACCTTAGTACAGGTTGAGCATCCCAAATCCAAAATCTGAAATGCTCTAAAGGCCAAAACTTTTTGAATGCTGACATGGCACTCACAGGAAATGCTCATTGGAGTATTTCAGATTTTGATTTTTGGATTTGGGATGCTCAACTGCCATATCGTGCACATATTCCAGAATCTGAAAAAATCAGAAATTCAAAATACTTTTGGTCCCAAGCATTTCTGATAAGGGATATTCAGCCTCTATGATGGTTCTCAAACTCTGTTTTAACCTGCATATAAATTTAAATACTAAGGTATTTAACTGAGAATGAGATAGTCCTTGACTGAGGAACAGTTTTTATTTTCTTCTGTGAGTCATTGAGTTGGTTGCCAAACAAGCCAAATTGACCCAGAGGGAGCTCATTTTAAAAAGTCAAACTAGGCTTTTTTTTTTTTTTTTTTTTTGAGATGGAGTTTCGCTCTTGCGCCCAGGCTGGAGTGCAATGGCGCGATCTTGGCTCACTGCAACCTCCGCCTCCTGGATTCAAGCGATTCTCCTGCCTCAGCCTCCCAAGTAGCTGCAATTACAGGCGTCTGCCACCATACCCAGCTAATTTTTTTATTTTTAGTCCAGACGGGGTTTCACCATGCTGGCCAGGCTGATCTTGAACTCCTGACCTCAGATGATCCACCTGCCTCGGCCTCCCAAAGTGCTGGGATTACAGGCATGAGCCATTGCGCCTGGCCTTTTTTTTTTTTTTTTTTAAGACTGTACTAAATATATTAACGTGTTATGTAAAGGACCTGATGTTTGGTGTGAATACTGACATGATTTGACATGCGTATATAGTTTATGTAATCAAAGTATTGCTTTTGGATTAAAAAAAGTCCTGAAACTCAGTAAGTTGTTCGAAATGAAACAACTTAATTATTTTACAATTATAAAATATGTAATATATTAATACATTTTAATGTTAATAAGTTGTAGTATCTTGTAAATTATAAATAATTTGAAATGAGACAACTTAATTAAATATAGCTAATAACTCTTTCTTACTCAAGTCGCCATAAGAAATATACTTGATTTTAGGCCAGGCGCGGTGGCTCATGCCTGTAATCCCAGCACTTTGGGAGGCTGAGTTGGGTGGATCACCTGAGGTCAGGGGTTCGGGACCAGCCTGGCCAATATGGTGAAACGCCATCTCTACTGAAAATACAAAAGTTAGCAGGGGATGGTGACACACGCCTGTAATCCCAGCTACTTGGGAGGCTGAGGCAGGCTTGAACCCAGGAGGTGGAGGTTTCAGTGAGCCGAGTTCACACTGCCCTTCATCCTGGGTGACAGAGTGAAACTCTGTCTCAAAACACACACACACACACACACACAGACACACACACACACACACATACTTGATTTTAGATCTGCCTATGTTGTTCTACAGAATGTTGTCAAGTTACTTACCTGATACGAGCTTTTTGTGTTTTTTATTGGAATAATCATTATTTTACTTTAAACTGTATAAATACATGCAAACATCACATTCCTGATTCTTTTTCACATCTTCAGTGGATATTCAGCAAAATCAGAAGTAGATCAAATATATGTAAACAAAAATAGAAAATTAAAATAAATTTGATCTAATTCTAATTTTGTTGAATATTACGTTTGTATGAAAAAAAGATCAACAGGCAAATTAATCATTTGTAAATAAAATTTGAAGAGTAATGTTTACTTAAGATTATTTTCAAACATATTGGAAGTGGTCATTTGTTGTAGGTGATTCTTCACTTTTTTTGTTTGTTTGTTTGTTTTTTTTGAGACGAGAGTCTCGCTCTGTTGACCAGGCTGGAGTGCAGTGGCGCGATGTCAGCTCACTGCAAACTCCACCTCCCAGGTTCACGCCATTCTCCTGCCTCAGCCCCCTGAGTAGCTGGGACTACAGGTACCCATCACCACGCCTGGCTAATTTTTTCTATTTTTTTAGTAGAGACGGGGTTTCACCGTGTTAGCCAGGATGGTCTCGATCTCCTGACGTCGTCATCCTCCCAAAGTGCTAGGATTACAGGCGTGAGCCACTGCGCCTGGCCGATTCTTCCCTATTGTAGCATGTGGCTGACAGTCTCCACTTTACTAAGTTAAGAACTATATATACCCTTTTTTTTTTTTTTTAAATTGAGATGGAGTTTCGCCCTTGTTGCCCAGGCTGGAGTGCAATGGCGCAATCTTGGCTCACTGCAACTTCCGCCTCCCAGGTTCAAGCAATTCTCCTGCCTCAGTGTCCCTAGTAGCTGGGATTACAGGTGCCTGCCACCACACCCAGCTAATTTTTTGTATTTTTAGTAGAGATGGGGGTTTCACTATGTTGGCCAGGCTGGTCTCGAACTCCTGATCTCAGGCAATCCACCAGCCTCAGTCTCCCAAAGTGCTGGGATTACAGGCGTGAGCCACCGTGCCTGGCTAAAATTTAAACTTTTAACATTTAGACTGGACTACTCTTAGGTAAGTAAAATATTTTAGTTTTTAATCTACTTAGGGGGGAAAAATCTCTATAGATTACTTATGATACAAACAGATGACCTAAAGATAGCAACTTAAAAAATTTTTTTTCCCTGAAAGCGTATTAGCCGTTTGAGAGTTTAATTTTGCATTTTCGTTTCACTTCTTCATTTCTGTAGAGATCATTGGAGTAATAATAGTACAAAATATTTCTCCCCTCTTGCAAGCTTTTAATTATACTTGTATTAGGCAGCGTATTTGTCAGTATAAACCTAATTGAGATAAGGAACAGTAGAATGGGCAACTACAAAGAGTTGTGTTGGGACAGAATGTGATCTAGTAATAATTGTGGTGGATTTGATGGTGATTTGCTACCCCAGTGATACAGATTATATTTTGCAATTAGCAAAATTTTTGATCAAGTGGGGATAAGTTGAGAGTCAGATGAAGTATTTGTGCTCATATGAGGGACCATTATGAATACTTTTGTCTAACTTTCTAAAATTAGTAACTGTTCCCACTAGTTTACAGAGTATTTTTTCTATTTTTTTGGAACCGAGTTCAAAGCCTGGCATGTCAAAGGCACTCAATTAAATTTTTCTTTTTTTAACTGAATAGATTTTTGAAAAATAACACTAAACTATATTTTAGAATATTTGGATTTTCTTTTAAAGATGGCTTAACCTTTAAACAGATACAATTTGCACATAAACTGTTAATATAATTCATCAAACAAGAGAATGAGCATTTTGGAAGTTAAGAGCCTTTACTGCAGAAATGTAGGATGGTATTTCAAACTACTATTGAAATATTATGTATTTGAGGAGTCCTCCTTTCCTCATTTTCTTATCTAGAATTATATTTCTGAGACAAACAAGATAACTGAATGTTGGGTTCAAATGTATCTCATTTATAGTTTTTTTTACACAGTAATTACAGTAGTTGGATATTTGCTTACTAAAATGAAGTGTGCAAGAAGAAAGTGTGAAACAGTTTTTTTATTATAGAAGCATTTTCTGAATTATTTCATTATTTTCGACTTGTTACCCAAAAAGATACATTGATTGGAGATAGTGCCCATTCCATTTATTCGGTTGATACCACATTGGGGTTTTGAATGATGGAGACCAATACAGACCTGCTTAGATTGGATAAGGTTTTGTTTAGTGCCTTTCTCATTTTTTACAAAACGACTTTTATAATAACTTCAGAGTAATCAAGTTTTTGGAGCTCATTCTGTTAATAACAGGATATGTGGACCCTCCCTATCCCTGGCATTTTTTTTTTTTTTTTTTTTTTTTGAAATCTGTAGAGTGGCTTTGCAAATAGTGCCCCCTGTGGTTTAGGAAATAGAGCCTCTTTATTTTTATTATTAAAAAATAGAATTGTTAGCATATGATTTTTGAAAGTTAGAAATTTATCCTTTTTGTTTGAGAAATGGGAAAAAACTTAGAAACTTTAAAGAAGAAAAACAAAAAAGAGATGGCCGTGTTTTCAGAGTAGGCCTGGATCATCATAGTCAGCCAGTAGTTTTCTCGTAGCAGTGCATATGTTATCAATTATGCCACTGGGAAACCAAAGAAGTAATCAAGAATTGGGCTAATTTTTTTTTTGATAAGGAGTTTTGCTCTTGTAGCTCAGGCTGGAGTGCAATAAGGCAATCTCGGCTCACTGCAACCTCCGCCTCCTGGGTTCAAGTGATTCTCATGCCTCAGCCTCCCTAGTAGCTGGAATTACAGTCATGTGCCACCATAGCTGGCTAATTTTTGTATTTTTTGTAGAGATGTGGTTTCACCATATTGGTCAGGCTGATCTCGAACTCCGTACCTCAGGTGATCTGCCTGTCTCAGCCTCCCAAAGTGCTGGGATTACAGGCGTGAGCCACCGCACCCAGCGAATTGGGCTAATTTTAATCCCTTTAGAATTCTGGGAGTGGAAAGTGATTGTCGAGCTAGAATTCAGTTTGTTCCTAGTAAAGGGGTAGAACTTGTTTGAGAATAGCTTTGGTAATAGCTTGAATCTGTATTTTGTTCACATATAGAATTTTATTCTACTGGGATTCATATTACATAAAATAAGGATTTTATTAGACTCTAGAAAGCAAAAGAATATATAAACAATGCATCTTGTTGTAAGATGTGATTTGCTTCCGGCTGCGCGCGGTGGCTCACGCCTGTAGTCCCAGCACTTTTGGGAGGCTGAGACGGGCGGATCATGAGGTCAGGAGATCGAGACCATCCTGGCTAACATGGTGAAACCCCGTCTCTACTAAAAATACAAAAAATTAGCCGGGCGCGGTGGCAGGCGCCTGTAGTCCCAGCTACTCGGGAGGCTGAGGCAGGAGAATGGCGTAAACCCGGGAGGCGGAGCTTGCAGTGAGCCGAGATCGCGCCACTGCACTCCAGCCTGGGAGACAGAGTGAGACTCCGTCTCAAAAAAATAAAATAAAATAAAATGTGGTTTGCTTCAATCACTAACTCATTATATTAGGCAGAAAGAATGAATAGGAAAGATATAAAATTAGTTTGAGTCCTTTTGATTTCATGACTTCTAGACTTAAGAGTGGATCATAGAAATATGTAATATTTCTATATATACATATATATGTATATATACAGAGAGAGAGAGAGAGAGCCCCCCCCCCCCCCCCGAGCAGGAGTTCATCTTATAGTCTTACAGTCTTCTTATATCTTACAGTCTTCGAATCTAGAATGTGGTAGATGCCTAATAAAGGTTTGGATAACAGTGAAGTCTAAGTGGCCCTATAAAGTTACCAGTGATTCTCGAAGAGGGAAACAGGTTTAGTTTTAAAACAAACCAGCATTTCGTTTTTATTTGTGATGTTGAATTTATTCTGAGATTTCAAATGGCATTAAAAGTACATATTTTGCATTTTTTATGGGAACAAGGAATTAAAAAGCTTAAGAAACTTACTAAAAGTTTGGGTAACATAGTTTGACCCTGTCTTTACAAAAGATTGAAAAAAACAATTAGCTGGGCTTGGTGGGGCATGCCTGTAGTCCCAACTACTTGTGGGGCTGAGATGGGAGTATCGCTTGAGTTGGGGAGGTTGAGACCGCAGTGAGCTGTGATGGCACCTCTGCACTCCAAGCTTGGGCAACAGAGCAAGACCCTGTTTTTCTCAAAAAAAACAAGACAAAACAAAACTTAATAAAAATGATTTAAGACTTCTATGCTTTTTATAGTCTATGTTAAATTTTTTTGTGTGATTATGAAAACAATATAGGCCCATTGTAGTAAATACTAAAAAAGTACAAAGAAGAAAACACAATTTCCTCATAATTGCACCATGTGATAACTGCCTCTGGAATTTATTCATTTGCGTATGTAATTGTAACTGTGTTTGTGCAAAAGCATTTCTAGAGTGCATAAGTATTAATAAAGGAGTAGTAGGCCTGGTGCGGTGGCTAACGCCTGTAATCCCAGCACTTTGGGAGGCCAAGGCAGACAGATGATTTGAGGTCAGGAGTTCGAGACCAGCCTGGCCAACATGGTGAAACCCCATCTCTACTAAAAATAATAATAAAAAAAATAGCTGGGCATGGTGGCACACGCCTGTAATTAGAGCTACTTGGGAGGCTGAGGCAGGAGAATTGCTTGAATCCAGGAATCGGAGGTTGCAATGAGCGGAGATCGTGCTACTGCACTCCAGCCTGGGCAACAGAGTGAGACTCTGTCTCAAAAAAAGAAAAAGAAAAACAAAAGGAGTAGTTACTGGAATAATACTTTTGGACCAATTTTAAGACAGTTCATTTAGAGCAGTGTTTTTCTAACTGCAATTTGTCATTCATGTAGCCATCTCAAGCAGGGTTCCATAAGGGGAGATTTAAGCACTACAGAAAATGAATTGAGTGCTGGTTTTGTCATTTCTCCCAGTGATCGTACTGGTACCATTCTAAATGCACTGGAGAGAAGGTAATTCATTACATACAATGGATGCCTTGGGGCATTTTAAATTCTCCTGAGAACCTCAATTGAAAACCGCCAGGAGGGTCATGAAATCAATTTAGTGGGTCACCAGCATTAAAAAACATAAAAACCTGAAGTAGAATAAAATGGAAAATAGAGGACATTGCACATAGGAAGATTAATCAATCTCTGTTTTGAAATTGCCAGTTTACATTATTTGAAGGCCAGAATAATCCAGGACTGTAAATTGTTAAGCATATATGCTAAAATGAGATAGAAAAGTAAAGCCTTAGAATTATACAGATTAAAATTTTTGACAAATAGTGGAAAATAATGTGTATGACACTGAGATTTCCATGTAGTTGCAGTATTAAGTTTATTGGGCATCACAGACCTTCAGTATAAAATGTCACAGGATTAACAGGATTTTTATCAGTGTATTTTTCTTCAAGTTCTAAAGGGGATGTTATATTACCAACTTTACATGGCTTTGTTTCCATTAAGG